>NT_187547.1:0-195710 GCF_000001405.40 Homo sapiens
GAATTCATTGTGGGCGTGATCGCTGATTCCATATTTGAAGGCAGCGTTTGGTTTGGACCAGAAGTCATGTTATATGAATAAAGGTGTTTTGGTGATTGGGGAGACAGAAAAGGAGGGCGTTTCCTGCTGCTGCCTTGCTCGGTTTGTGTCTGTGGGTGCTGGACGGGAGTGGGTGATTCCCGAAGCTCCCTCCAGCTCTCAGATGCCGAGGGCGGGCTGGTGGTGTTTGCTGATGGAAGTGCCGGCTCCGTCCGATGGGATGCCTGAGAGAACTGCTGTGCTTTCAAAAGTTGTTCTTTCTCTAAAAGGAAAAAGCAAAAGAAAATTAGACCTTGGACAGCAGGCGCCTGTGTGTGCTGCCGCTCGCCCTCTCACCGTGGGAGGAGTGCACGTTCTCTCGTGGATTTGCAAGCGCACTGTCGCATATCCTGTGGAGTTGGGATAATTTTTTCCACATAATTAAAGCAGCAATGTTGGGATGCACCTTCAGGAGGGAGCATTCCTGTGAGCTGCCTCCACCGCGCTAACCGTAGAGCTTGGGGTGGCTGGCACTGAGCATCTGCCCCGGCCGCCTGTGCGGGATGACGCGGCCTCGCGGCCTTCGAGTCTCCGGGCGCCATCCTTTGGGCAGCCTCCCCTCCACCCCTGCCTCGTTGCAGGTGCATTGGAGCCCCTTCACTGGCTGGGGCACTGCAGTGTGACATCTCCAACAAGTGGGCTCGGAGGGGCCGCAGCATCCCTGCGCCTGGTGGGCCTCACCGCAGCACCCCTGTCGGGCACCGCGATGGCGTGAGTGCACACGAGAGGGACCACATGTTCTCTGGCAACCTCGTGTCTTTGAGTTCAGCACTGATTGTGAAACGCCGGGTGATGCTGGGGCCTGGGGCTGCTTACGGCCCTGGTGGCCTTGGCAGAGACGAGGGAGGGGTTTGCCAGCTGCCTGAAATCAGAGAGCCTGGGCCTGGGCATTGTGACCACCGGCGCCTTCACTCAGAGACTTCCAGAGAGTTCCAGGCCAACATTTGGATGGCCTTGTTTACATTTAAGCCAAGAGTCATCACTTTTATACTTTTTATCATGGGAAATTTCAAACATATGTCAAGTGTCTTTCTCAGCTCCGGCTTCCATAATAAAGTGCCTCAGATGGGGCTTAAACCACAGACATTGTTGTCTCACCATCCTGGAGGCTGGAGTCCGAGACCGAGGCGCAGCAGGGCTGGTTCCTCCTGAGGCCTCTCCTGGGCTTGCAGATGGTGCCTTCACCCTGTGTCCTCACAGGGCCGTCCCTCCCTGGGTGTCTGTGTCCTCATCTCCTCTTCTTATAAGGACACCAGGCAGGTTGGCTCAGGGCCCCCAGATGATCTCATTTTACCTTCGTCACCTCTCTAACAGCCCCTTCTCCAAATACAGTCACCCTCTGGAGTCCTGGGGGTCAGGACATCAACAGGAATTGGGGAAGGGGGCGCAAAATTCAACCTAGAACACCAAAGCAGTGATAATACAGTGGGCCTGGGACCTGTCCCCCAGCCCGGAGAATGACGGTGTGTGGCCAGGCCGGGGTCACGTGCACTCCCACTGTGCCCGCCCTGCTTGGCGCGGCTGCTGTCACAAAGGACCACAGACGAGGTGCCTCCCGAACAGCAGACACGGACTTCTCACCATTCTGGAGGCTGAAGTCCAAGATGCCGGCAGATTTGGTGTCTGCCAAGGACCCCCTCCGGGTCAATAGATGGCACCTTCTGTGTCCTCGCAAGGTGGAGGGGTGAACGAGCTCCCTCGGGCCTCTGGTGCGTGTGGATCAGGAGGGTCCTCCAGCTCCTCCTTGTTTGCTGCAATGGATTTGGGCTGTGTTTTGTGGAGTTTTGTGTTTTGTGGAGTTCTCTGCATTTTCTGATTGATTGCATCTCCTTGTTGTCATTGGGGCTTTCTGGAAGCTGGTGGTTGCATCTAGACCCAGAGAGGGTCAGTTCCCACTGGTCTGCTGTGCTGCTCCTGCACCAGGCTCGGCATTGGCTGTTGCTGGATCCCTGTCACGTGAGTGTGAGCTGGGTAGGCCTCGAGCCAGCCCTCAGGACATGAGCCTCTGCCAGCTTCCTTGATTTGGGCCGCGCCGTGCTCCTGGGACTGCAGGCGTGAGCGCTCGCGCCCGGCCCCTGCCAGCTTCCCTGATGTGGGCTGCGCCGTGCTGTCCCATCTTCATCTCTGCATTTCCCACCTGTGACCTGGAGCAAGCCCGGCTGAGGAGCCCTGGGCCTTCTGCTGGGAAGTGGTATTTAGCGGCCGCAGTCCGCACCAAAGCTCTCCCTGCATGTGGGCAGGTCACTGCCTGGACGCCTTGGTTTATCGTAGCCAACTTTCAAATAGTTGAAGTAACTCAGCCTCAGACTTCAGACAAAGTTCCTCATTAGGATTATGCTATAAACCCTCACTTATGGCTCACACAGGGTGACCATATTGCTTCCTCCAACTGGCATTTCTCAGGGTGATCAGGGTCCTGTGGTGACAGCCGGCCCACAGCCATCAGCAGCTTGTCTTGGGAGGGCCAGGTTGCAGGTCTCAGCGTCTGCAGGCGTCCACAGTGTCCTCCCCAGTTGGCTGCCGCGTGGAGGCCTGACCTATGGTGACCAGGAGCGTGGTCCGTGTTCTCCTCTCTGAGTCCCTCCCCCTCTCCGCATTCAGCCTCTGGCCACACTGCCTGGAGGCTGCTCCCGCTCCCCACATCTGCCCACCTTGTCCACGCAACAGCCCGCTTATCCCTGTCCACGACTTGCAGTGATGTCTTGGTTCCGCATGCTGCCCCTGCTGCCTCTGGTGAAGGTGCCAAGGGGGCTTCTGTGGAAGCCTCTGAGCCAGGGTGCTGGGCCTTGCTTGGGTGAGGAGAAAAGACACCTGCCCTCTCTGACAGGTGTCCCTGTGGCTGCAGGTCTGTAAACGCACGCTTGCTCTCAGTGGACACTGCAAAGCTGCCGTGGGGAGGAATGGCTGTGCCCGGTGCCTCCACTTTAGCGACCTGAGTCTCCAGCGACGCTGCCTGGGAGACCGCACTGCCAGCCCCCTTTCCTTAGAAGGCCATTGTTCTGGGAGTTTCTGGTCTAGCCAGGATTTTCTAAGAATTTCTTTGCCTACCCAGCACCTCCCTTGGCCACCCCTGCCAGTGCTGAGGGGCTTGGCTGCCGCAGCTGCCCCAGCCAGCTTCTCTCTCTGCAGCTCTGCCATACTGGCATCTCCTGGGGGGCTAGAGTCCATCCAGACCCATCTGCACCAGGGCGTGGGGGCATGAGGAATGGAGGGATCCCAATGGGTGTGCCTGAGGCTGGACGCAGGGGTGGGGCCTGTGGAGACAGGTGGGCAGAAGGTGCGGGGTCATAGAAGCTTCTGGAAGGAGTCACAGCAGTCACCCAAGTCCTGTTCTCCTTGGTGAGGGCTCCCGGCTCCTGTGGGCGGGCCGAGCCTGGCAGAGAAAGAGCGCACAGGCCCAGAGCTGGGTGAGGTGAAGGCAGATCGGTGGAGATGCCCGGGCTCTTCACCAGGAGCACTGCTCCTCCTCCTGCCTGGGGCTCCCAGAGGCCCCCTCTCCAAGCAGTTTTCACAGCACTGCAGAGCAGAGCCACACCCTCCCCATCTGCTGGAGGCCTGGGGAGCTCCTCCCTGGCCATGTTCCCTCTCCACCCTCCCCTCATCAGCCCTGTTTGCCGAGGATCAGCGATTGCAACTGTGGCCCACAGGCCCCTCTCCTTGCTGCTGCTAAGCTCAGAAGTGTGGGCCGCATTCCCTGATGCACCACGAGCAGGCACAAGGGTGCATGGGCTGAGGGTCACATGGTCACGCAGTCTTCTGGGACACCAACAGGAGCAGGTGCACTGACTGGTGGGGAGCGTCACGTGGTCAGGCATTCTTTCCCATAGAGGAAGGAGCTGGTGCAGAGGGTCGCTTGTTCACACAGTCCTCCCCGTGCACGAAGCAGCAGGTGCATGGATGCATGGACGTGTGAGGTGAGGGTCAGGTGGTCATGCAGTCTAACCCATGCACGAAGGAGTAGGTGCAGGAATGTGTAAGTCGAGGCTCAGGTGGTCGCCCAGTCTTCCCTATGTGCGCAGGAGCAGGCGTGGGGGTGCGCGAGCCGAGGGTCACGTGGTCTCACAGTGCATCCCCCCACTGGCTGGCCCAGCGAACCCCATGTGCTAAGGAACCAGCAGCCTGACTACCCTACCCGGCATGCAGGCGGGGCCTCCCCACCCAGGGCTCATTCATGCCCCGTGTTGTTTGGGGATGGGGCGCTGCTCCCCCAGCCCCGGAGCTGTTCCCAGTGGGTGGTCCCATATGGAATGGCCTGGCAGTCGGTGCTGTTTCAGGAACACCATGGGTTACTGTGATTTTATTCCGCACTCTGTGGTGGAAGCAGTGTTGCAGTCGGTGCTGTTTCAGGAACACCGTGGGTTACTGTGATTTTATTCCGCACTCTGTGGTGGAAGCAGTGTTGCAGTCGGTGCTGTTTCAGGAACAGCGTGGGTTACTGTGATTTTATTCCGCACTCTGGTGGAAGCAGTTGTAGTCGGTGCTGTTTCAGGAACACCGTGGGTTACTGTGATTTTATTCCGCACTCTGGTGGAAGCAGTGTTGCAGTCGGTGCTGTTTCAGGAACAGCGTGGGTTACTGTGATTTTATTCCACACCCTGTGGTGGAAGCAGTGTTGCAGTCGGTGCTGTTTCAGGAACAGCGTGGGTTACTGTGATTTTATTCCACACCCTGTGGTGGAAGCAGTGTTGCAGTCGGTGCTGTTTCAGGAACAGCGTGGGTTACTGTGATTTTATTCCACACTCTGGTGGAAGCAGTGTTGTAGCAGAGTTGGCTGCAGCACCAGAGGTGGACTGAAGCAGGCTGTGGGCAGAGGCTGCCGTGGCCCCAGGGTCAGACCGGGGAACTTCCTGAGACTTTCTCTTAGTGCTGGTTATCACACTTCATGGCGTCTGCCCAGGGAGGCAACAAGTTCTAAGAACAATTTATGGGAAGAAGAAACTTACCCAGTAACTTATTGTCGGCTTTTTTTTTTTTTTTTTTGGGACGGAGATTCGCTCTTGTTGCCCAGGCTAGAGCGCAATGGCGCGATCTCAGCTCCCCACAACCTCTGACTCCCGGGTCCAAGTGATTCTCCTGCCTCAGCCTCCAGAGTAGCTGTGATTACAGGCATGCGCCACCACGCCCGGCTACTTTTGTATTTTTAGTAGAGATGGGTTCTCCATGTTGGTCAGGCTGGTCTCGAACTCCCGACCGCAGGCGATCCTCCCACCTTGGCCTCCCAAAGTGCTGGGATTACAGATGTGAGCCACCACGCCCTGCCTAGCTGTCGGCTTTAACAGCAGAGCCAGGCTTGTGCACTGCAGAGTGGCCTCTTCCCAGCCAGTGGCCCTGGAGCCCCGGGACCAGGTGGGCTGAAGGCCGAGGCTACGGTCTCCTCCGCTGCGCTCTCCTCCACTGCAACAAAATATGAAACAGTAACAGTAGATGGGAATGGATGAAATATTTAAAACTAAATTTTACAAATAAAGGAAAAGGCTGCCCCTTAGACTTGTGGGATTAAATCAAGGTGGTCCTTAGGGGGAGCTGTGTTCTAAATGTGACTATCAGGAAATAAGGTATTTCTGAAAATAACAAAGTGGGCTTTTCCCTCAAAAAGTTGAAAAGAATATTTGACTAAATTCAAAGCAGAAGAAAGAGGAACTAATAAGAGCCAAAATTAATATGATTAGGTCACAACAGAGAGAATGAACAAATCTGAGATGGTTCTGTAAGAAGACTGATAAAATAGAAAAATATCTGGCAACGTAGGTTTAGAAGTTTTGGCAGACACAGATAACATTAGAAATGAAACCAGAGAGCAGGCTTGGTGTGAACCCAAGGAGAGTGTGGCGGGCAACTTCACTGTTATCTTAAAGGCAGCTGGGAGGAGACCTTGGTAGCGGGAGGGAAAAATATGCCAAAAGCTTCCAGGAAGAGACTTCCCCATTGACAAAAACAGTGAAGTCAACCCAAAAAAAAAGGGACTCTATAAACAGTAGGGTTGGAAACAGTGAAGCAACGGTCAGGAGCTGCCGGCAGGCATGGGTGCACGCTGGTTTCGTAGGGCGACTGCACGAGGAAGCCGCTGGGAGGAAGTGACAGGAGCGGACAGGCGCGTCTTACTTAACAGCTGGTGACAGTGGCCAACAGACCTAGCAATTCCTTTTAAAAAACAATCCTAACAGGGAGCTGCACAGCGCTGAAGCTAGCTTTCAGTATTAGAGAGACCGTGGCCGTAAGGCATCATGTTAGTGGCTTCAAGTGGGGTGCAGCACGTGGCTCTCCCCACAGATGCAGGAAGCACCTCTGATAAAGCTCAGCACCCGTTCATGATTTAAAGCAAAACAAAACTCGTGGAGGATGAGGCCTGGGAAGGTTTCTCAGCAGTAAAGAACGTTTGCTGAATGCCAGTAACACGATGTGGAACAGTGACGATCGTCACCAATGGCGGGATAACAGATTTGTGGTTGCTTGGTGCAGCGAGTGTGATGCTGAAGCGGGGACCCAGCTGGGGTGAGGAGCAGCCCCCAGAAGCGGGGAAGGGGAGGCAAATTAGAGGTCGTCATCTCTCGCAAACCAAACATCATCTAGATCTGCGTACCCAACAGGCTGACCTGACCACTGGGCACTGACAGGGTGGAGACACAGGTGGCATAAAGCTGTGAGAGTGAAATGCACACTGCACAATCCAAGACAGCGGGAGAAAATGCAAACTAGCCAGTAGCAACTTCTACGTTGAGTACGTGTCGAAATGGTATTTCAGATATACCGGGCGAAATGAGCTGTATATTAAATTGTCATTCCCTTTAAATGTGGCCACTCGAAAATTTAAAATGACACATGTGGCAGGCATGTTTCTCTTGGGCTATGCTGGTCTCCGTTGAGAACTCAAAAGAATCTAGGGACAAACCAAGGAAACAGAGTGGGAGCGCTCTCATGACAGGCATCAGAAATTAGGGATGGCTGCTGCTTGGGGAGCCAACTGCGATCTGTGTCTCCTGGGTCTTTTCTGTCTCTGCACTAAACCTGCACCTCAGGACTGGTGTTTCCCCTCACCCAAAGCCTCCCGCCCCTCTACACGGAGTCCTGCCCGCCTCCCGGAGGGACCTCCATCCTCAGACCCTGGGCTGCCTGGGATCCCGCAGCCTCGGCCTTCCCTGGCGTGGGGGCCTGCCCTGGCTTGGGGGGCCTTCCTGAGCCCCCATATTGACCTGCGCCCCTGCCCTCCCGCCAGTTCACTCTCCTGCGCCGGGTCTTCCATTGACTGGAAAGTCACACCTTCATTCTGCCGTCTTCTCTGTGGTCTGAGGTCCAACCTTGCAAACTGCAGGCCAGCTACCTCCCCCTGTCACCAACACTGCCTAGGGTGGCGTATGCTTTCTCATGTCCACATAAACGATTTCAGGGGAAACTGCTGAGTGAGGCCTGCGGGGCTGGGGGTGTGTCCTGGGGGGCGGAGCTGCCTGGGGGTGCGTCCTGCGGGGTGGAGCTGCCTGGGGTTGTGTGCTGTGCGTCAGAGTGGCCCTTGAATTTGCAGGAGGAAGCTCCACTGTGTCTTTCCCAAGCCACTCGCATGGCAGCTCCAGTAAGGAGGCAGGAAGCGGGCAGTGGGTGTGGAGCATGTCAGTTAGCACTGGCCAGTGTCCACAGCCATGGTGAGGGCTGGTCGGCATCAGCACCGGTCAGCCTTGGTCAGTGCCGGTCAATGTTGGTCAGCCTTGGTCAGTGCCAGTCAGTGTTGGTCAGCCTTGGTCAGTGCCGGTCAGCCTTGGTCAGTGTCGGTCAGTGTTGGTCAGCCTTGGTCAGCACCGGTCAGCCTTGGTCAGTGCCGGTCAATGTTGGTCAGCCTTGGTCAGTGCCGGTCAGCCTTGGTCAGTGCTGGTCAGTGTTGGTTAGCCTTGGTCAGCGCCGGTCAGCACTGGTCAGCCTCGGTCAGCCTTGGTCAGCCTCGGTCAGTGCTGGTCAGCCTTGGTCAGCTGTGTGCCAGCTGCAGCCCCTCCCCAGCTCTCCACTCTGTGGGGCGCGCTGTCCCCCTGGGCTAGCCTCTGCCGGGTGGGGAGCTGCCTGGTGTCCTACATGGATTCTCTGGATAATGCCCCCCTCTGTCTGCAGGTGGCCCTCATGACACTGACGCTCTTCCCGGTCCGGCTCCTGGTTGCCGCTGCCATGATGCTGCTGGCCTGGCCCCTCGCACTTGTCGCATCCCTGGGCTCTGCGGAGAAGGAACCCGAGCAGCCCCCGGCCCTGTGGAGGAAGTAAGTTGCGCGTGTGCCGTGCTCTCCTCCTGGGGGGGGGTCACGCGGCCAAACAGTGGGAACCCATTCTCACAGTGGGGTTGTGTGTCTCCACCCTAGCCCATCTGTCCTTCCCTTCTGAGCCCAGCGTCCACCAGGGCTGCCCCCTGCCAGTGGGGACTCGGCCACCTCCCCGTTGCCTCTGTCTTCCACGCCTCCGCCACAGTCCTGCTCTGAGGCTTCATTTTCCAGGGGTCTGCAGGATGTGTGGCCATTGTTTCACACCCTTGAGCACAGAGACCCCCCTACACCGTAGCCTTCTCTGCTCCAGAACCTGCTGGGGCTCCCTGTTGCTGACGAAAGTCAGGCTTCTGGACACCCTCTCCTGGCTTTGTGACTGCCAGCCCCCTTACCCCTCCCACCTCAGACCCTCAGCTCTGGCCCTGCCCATGGTGGCCTCCCCCAGACCCTCAGGCTGTGAGTGGACGGCCTCTTGGGCTGCAGTGACAGGGCACCACAGTGACACAGGCCTCCTGCCTAGGGAGGTCCCTGCCTCAGTGGCCCCCATGCAGAGGCAGCTGGACCTGGTGCGGGTGCCGTGGGCCCGGGAGGGGCCATCTTCCAGGTGTGAGAGCAGCAGCAATGAGGGGAACGGCTGCTCGGGGGGCAGGTGGCCACCATGGCATCTCCTGCCAACCTGGTCTTATTAAAATTGGGCTAAGTGGGAACAGGTTGCCGCATCATAAAGGCCCAGTGACTTGACATCAAAATCCCCATTTCTGGCCAGTCTTGGAAAAGCAGAAGCTCCGGCCAGTGGGCCTGCTCCCCAGGGCCAGCAACTGGCTGGAGCCAGGCCCAGCCCTGCCTTCGGACAGGAGGCTCGGGTCCTTCCCCGCCCTCCGAGACTGCATGTCAGCCAACGTTGGCCTGGCCTGCTGCCTGCTGGCACCACCCCTCCAGGGCCGTCTTTCCCTTGCTTTGTGGACCTAAACTCTTCCTGGCTTTTAAGCACGGAATATAAATAAAGCACACCTACCCGATGAGGAATACATCTAAACTAAAGATCCAAAACAGACCACAAAAAATTAAACTAAATCACAATATTTTCTTGTTTCATTTAAATTCCTAAAGCTGTGCTTTCACTGAAAGTATCTGCCATTAGCAAATGAAAATGTTGAGATATCATAAATACTTTGATAAATATTTTCAGTATCTTAAAAGTTACCACGCGTGTCCTATAACCACAGCTCTGACAACCCTTCCATGTGTTGTTAACATCTCTCATCATTCTGGAGGGGCTCCCTGAATCTTTTATTCAGAAACAGGAATATTAGTAGTTAATTGGAGGCTGCTGCCTGACTATAAGTAAAGTTTTACTGGAGCACGGGCACGCCCGCTGGCCTGCGTGATGTTCAGGGCTGCATTGGTGGGGAACCGGGCCAAGTGGTTGGGACAGAGGCCGTGTGGCTGTAGAGCCTAAAGCATTCACTGCCTGGCCTCCGAAAGGTGTAATGGGCACGCCCAGGCCCCTCCTTTCTCTGGAAGGTGTCTGATCTGTGGGCTGTATGTACAGCAAAGTTTTCACGGCCAAGAGGCTGATGGGAGCTGACATCTGCCTGAGCTTCGGTTCTCCTTGATACCCAGGGCCACACTCAGACATGCAGTTAGGTGCAGGGGGAAGACGGCCACTTAGGGTCCCGGGTTTGCCGCACCGTTGCGTGCAGACATGGTGCAGTCATAGGAGAGGGCAGCCTGGGCGTTGGGGGTCCCTCACTCTGGGCCCTGCTGAGTGGGTGGACGTTGAGCAGCTTGCTGGGTAGTGGTGACCTGGGGCAGCCTGGGTTCTTTAGGGGCAACAGGATCATCACGGGCTTTAGTTCTTCATTTAGCCTTTCTAGATTTTTAAAATTCTCTTATGCTTTATCTTGGTTTGTTTTTGAAACGTTTTAACCATAAAATAGGAATTGGGTATCAAATATATAACCAAGCAAAGTAAATCAAGGCCAAATCAAAGTCAGGCTTTCAGTTTTGCTGAGTTGAGAAGCCACAGCTAGAAAGTGGGGGTTCTGTAGTGTGAAGCAGGCTGCAGGTGACCTGGCTGAATGTGGTGCTGTGGGCAGCAATGGCTTCGTGGTGCTTTCCTGGCACCCTTTCTCTTTACTCCCCATGTCCTTGTTGGGCCGAGCTCCCCGCCTCCTCTGTTCTGTCTCAGGAGGCAGGAGCCCCGTGCGAGCACAGGCTCTCACTTTTCAAAATAGATGGCTTGGGGCAATTTTCCGTTTCCCCATGCTAACCCTGGTGGCTTTTCTTGTCTGTGAATAATTGACTTGGCTTCAACAGGCGATAAATGGACCACAACGGACTCTTATTCTAGCAGCTGTACTTCAGAGACGCTTTCATATGTACATCTCATGCACGTGTGAAGTGTCCCGTGACAGTGACACGTTGGGGTTTCTGTCACCTCTGCTTCATGAGATCTTTGGGCATCTGGGTCTGTGGAGACTCACTGTGTATCATTCTGTGTATGTGTGCAGAGAGGGTGTGTATGTGTGTACATATGCGCATGTGAGTGTGCATACATATGTATGTGCATGCACGGGAGTAGGTACACGTGCATAGGCATGTGGTTGCATTACTGTGTGTATGTGAGCCACCAGTGCAAGTATGTATATGAGTGTGTACATGTGTATATGTGTGTGCTGTGTACCTGTGTGTGTTGCATGTGTGTACATGTGAGTGCATGTATATATGTGTGGATGGATGTCTGTATCGTGTGCACATACATGTACGTGTATGACAGTATGTACATGTGTATGAGTGTTGTGTCTCTGTGTACATGTATGTGTGTATATGTGCAAGTGTACGTGTGTACAGGTGTCCACATATGTATGATGTATGTACATATGTGTATGAGAGTATATGTGTGTACATATGTATGAGTGTGTGTGTGCATGTGAGTATATATGAGAGCGATGTCTGTGTATGTGTGTGAATGTGTGCATGTGTGGGAGTATGCACGGATGCTTGTGGGCACTCAAGCTGCCCGTGCTGCCTGGCATTGAATCCCACCCCTGGAGCCCCTGGCGTCTCCTTCAGCAGCACTGATGAAAGCTCCCTTGGTGCACAGTCCTGGGCTTGGCTTGGTGCTTGAAGGGAAACAGAAGAGAGAACAAACCCTGAATTCTGAACTCCCCAAGGGGAAACCTAGTCACAAAAGCACCGTAGTTAGGGACGTAAGGGATCAGGAGGAAACTGAATTTGAAGTAGCAGATTCAGAGTGTACCGCTGAATAATAATTACGTAGTCGGTTTGGGACTTAAGTTGGCTCACGTTATGCACTGCTCTGCAGTTTTGAATAGATTGATGTTGAGTTAAAGCATTTTTGCTGAATGTAAGTTAGTGTCATTCAAACCTTCCTAAAATAAAAATCTTAGGCTTTCAGTGAAAGAATGACACAGTTTCGCAAAAGGCACTATTTTAGGTTACTTTCAACACACACAGTGTTGTAAAAACCGTAGCATCGTTTTGCAAAACCCGACCATCTGGCGCTGAATCCTTGACCACGGGCCAAGTCCTGAGCTGGGCCAGGTCCTCCAGGGGCTGCCCCTTGGCTGACCGGATGGTTCAGATGGATGGTGCCCTTTCCTGAATGCTCTGTGTGGGAACACCTGTTCCCAAGTTTGGGGATGCCATCCCCATGATGACTCTAGGTACTCCCCGTATGTTGGCCTGGAGGTTGGAGCTTGAACTTGAGCATCAAACCACTTTATCTGGTCTCCCAGAAGCCAGCAGCTCCTGCCACCTGCGTCTCAGCCTGGGGCTGCCCCTCCACACCTGCCAGCCCAACACAGCCCTCCCACCAGCCACCCAGGGGCCGTCCCTGACCCAGCTAAGCCAGTCCACGTGGATCACCAGACTTGCCTCCTTGAAGCCCCGCCAGACGTGGCCCCAGGGCCCCTTCCTTTGCCCTACCCCACCGGCCTGGCACCGTAGCCAGCACTCAGGCTGTGTACATGTGTATAGGTCCTCTCCAGGGCCGGCTCCACTCTGCCTCTTGCCTCTGCTCACAGCAGAACATTTGGAACCTGCAGAGCCGGGGCCTGCGCCTGCCCCTCACGCTTAGACGTGTGGGCTTCCCCCACCCACCTCCACATGCCAGCTGGCTTGAGGAGATGCAGGCCTCAGCGGCCTTCCTCCTTTTCCCCCTGCATGTTCTGGGAGATTTCCTCCTCCTCATTTCCCAGTCTTTCCTGTGAGTTGCTTGTCTCCACAGTGACAGTCTTGGTTTCTGAGAGTGTTTTCTTGTTCTTTGATGCTCCTCAGCGCCCTGTTCTTCCAGACTCTCTTGGCGAGCGTGGTGGATGTTTTGCACCCCTCTTCTGATGCCCACCCTTTCTGTCTCCTTGGGGTCAGTCCTCTGCTTCTCTGCCATGCAGCTGCTCTGCTCACACGTCTCAGGATTCTTGGGTGTCGTCCGTGTGAGGGCGGTAGGACGGAGTGGATTTCCTGGGGGTGCTGATGGAGATCCCCGCTCCTGTGTATGCAGATAGATCTGTCTCCTGATTCACATTCCCCTGGGAATGGGCTGCCCAGGCACCTGAGCACCCTGGGCTTGTGCTGGCTCCCTTTGCCTTGGGGTGAGTGGGTGCTGGGTCCCCAACCCCACAGCAAGCGGAGCTTTTCTCTGAGGCTGTCATCCACACCAGCAGTCCGGGTTTTCACATGTGGATAGTTTGGGTATAAAATTCCTCCAAGATCTTTAGAGAAGAGCTGAGGCTGCTTTTTCCCTGCCCCGACACCCAGTACAGTTCCCCTGAGCACCGTCTGTCCCTGCAATTCGATTTCGGGGCTGGCAGGTGTGTTCCTCTAAGGGCCGCCCGGGTTTTAATCCCTTTTTTCCTGCTGTCCTCTCTCCTGCCCCTGAACCTGCCCGAGACTGGCTCCTGTGCCCGCCGCAGCCTCCTCTGCAGCCTCGCTTCTCCCTCCGCCGCTGCCTTGTTTCTTCCATCTTAGGCATCAATTGCTGTCTTTTGGCTTTTGTTTTTGTACTTTTTTTTTTTTTTTGTGGAAAATAACATGTGCACAGAAGAGTACATCTTTATTTTTTAGTTTAGTTTTCTTGAGATGGAGTCTCACTCTGTTGCCCAGGCTGGAGTGCAGTGGCGCAATCTCGGCTCACTGCAACCTCCGCCCCTTGGGTTCAAGCAGTTCTCCTGCCTCAGCCTCCTGAGTGGCTGGGATTACAGACGCCTGCCACCATGCCCAGCTAATTTTTGTATTTTTAGTAGAGACAGGGTTTCACCATGTTGGCCAGGCTGGTCTTGAGCTCCTGACCTCAAGTGATCCACCTGCCTTGGCCTCCCAAAGTGCTGTGATTACAGGCGTGAGCCACCATGCCTGGCCAGAAAAGTACATTTTTAAATATGCAGCTGAACAGGTGGTGAAGAAGTGCACACCTGTGTAATCCCCCCTCCTCTAGACAAGCAGCACCCTGGGTTGGTCCCCAGCATCTCCATGTGTAACTACACCATTGTTTATCATCGCATACACAAAGGCCATTCCAAGGTGGCCCCACGAGAGGAGGCTTTGTGCCCTCCTAGCAACCGCCTTGGCTCAGATCCATGGGGACCCCTGTCCTGGAAGTCTTCTGGGAGGATCATCTGTCCCAGGGCAATGTGAATCCAGTAAGGCTTCAGGCTCTTGTTTCTCTGTGCAGTAGTTTTACCCAGTGTGATGCGCCCACTTAACCCAGTGGCCGAGTGAGCCGTGGCTTCTCATGAGGCTGAATCATGTTCTCTGTGTGCCTGACCTGTGGCTTCTCACACACCGTGGCTGTCTGCTGCGTGTCAATTCCCTGAGGTGTGGAATAACAGCCTAATCTGTAGCCTCATATGAAAGAGAATACACACATTTAAAAGGCTAAATTTGTACCTATTTTAAAAAGAGATAAAGAGTACACAAATTCAGTTAACCTAGGCTGATTTTTACTTTATTTTCCAAATTTATTGGCCATCTAATTTCCTCCAGAAACAGCTCACTGTAATAACACAACGCCTGGTTGTGGGAACCCCGGGCTTCCTGTGGAGATGAGATGGGGAAGTTCGCACGCAGGTCTCAGCTTCCGCCCTCAGCTCTGAGCGCCCCCCCCCCCATATTGCGATATGCGTTTTAGGTGTTTTAATGTTTTTCCCATTTCAAAATGATAGGATGCTGATAAATAAGTTGCTAACATGAAGGTCCGGAGGTCTTCTGGCCTGGGACTTGTGCTGTCTGTGTTCCGGAGTCTCATGTTGTCTTAGCACTGCCTGCCGCGTGGCCCGTGACCACCACACAGGGCCCCGCGGCCTCCTTCGTAGGTGAGAGCGCAGCCAGCGAGGACACAGGCGGAGGCCAGGAAGGCGCGGCGTCTTTTCTTCCCTCAAGCAGATGTCCCAGCGGCGGCGACCACAGGAAGCCCGTGGCCTGGACTGCGCCCTGGAGGGCTCTCCCGTGGGACCGCCCCTGTGCCTCACACAGACTCCGAGACTGCGGACGTGTGCCCGCGTGACGCAGCGCCCTCTTTTGCAGGGTTGTGGACTTCCTGCTGAAGGCCATCATGCGCACCATGTGGTTCGCCGGCGGCTTCCACCGGGTGGCCGTGAAGGGGCGGCAGGCGCTGCCCACCGAGGCGGCCATCCTCACGCTCGCGCCTCACTCGTCCTACTTCGACGCCATCCCTGTGACCATGACGATGTCCTCCATCGTGATGAAGGCAGAGAGCAGAGACATCCCGATCTGGGGAAGTGAGTGAGACACCCCTGCTGGGAGTGAGGGACCCTGCCCTGCTGGGAGTGAGAGATCCCCCTGCTGCTGAGAATAAGAGATTCCCCTCCTGCTGGGAGTGAGGGTCCCCCCTCTGTTGGGAATGAGTGAGACCCCCTCTGTTGCTGGCAATGAGGGACTCCCTGCTGGTTTTTAGGGACCCCCCCTTCTGGGAATGAGAGATCCCTCCCTGCTAGGAATGAGGGACCCCCACTTGCTGGAAATGAGTGAGACCCTCCCTACCGGGAGTGAGGGACCCCCCCCCCACCACGCTGCTGGGAGTGATCGAGCCCCCACCGCCGGGCACATTGGCCTTGTGCCCCATTTTCTGTGTTGGGGTTTCCTGTGTAATTTTCGTTGTTGTAATTGTTATTTTTATTGCTACCTGAGTGCCCTCACTATCATAACAGGCTACAGTGCTTGCTCCAGGTCTGCTTGGCAAGGGTGGCTCACCTTTATCAGATGGCAGTTCTGGAAGTCTTTGGGAGCAGGTCGGCAGGGCTGCCCATGCACCGCGGCTGTGCCGTGAACCAGGGACCTGAGCACCTGGTGCTGCCATGACCCCTCCCCAAAGCCGGGGGCTCACTCCAGCAGAGATTCACCCTCTCGTCATCTGGGGACCAGATGTTCAAAATCAAGGCGTCTCTGGGCCGAAGGCCCTGTGCGGCCCCTTCCTGCCTCTTCCTCCTCTGGGGGCTGCGTCCCTCTGACTCTGCCTCAGTGGTCGACTGGCCTGGCTCCCTCCAAGTGTCTCCTCTATGAGTCTCTTATAAGGACCAGTCATTGGGTGATCCAGGATGCTCTCATCTTGAGATCCTTAACGAGTTACCTCTGTAAAAACCTTTTTCCAAATAAGGCCTCATTCACAGGTTCCAGGGTCAGCATGTGGACCCATCTTTGGGGGCCGCATCCCATGGACCCACTGCTCTGGGAGGACTGTAGGGAGCCCTGCGTGGCCCCTCACCCACCTGTGCGCAGCCCTGACCCACCAGAGCTCTGTCCTCGGTGCTCTTCAGGGCATCTGGGCCCGTTCTGTCCTCGTGCTTCCTTCACAGCCGCCATCAGCACAGCACAGCACGTTCTGGGGCACAGCGGGTCCTGGGTTGGCAGTGGGCGGTGCTGAGGGAAGGAGCTGCTGGGACGAGGGGCGTCGCCTATGGCCGGGGCCCTCACCTGGCCACTCCTGCCGGCTCTGTTTCCATGCAGCACCTAACGTTAGCATTCATATGACAGTTTTCTAGAAAATATCTGGGGGGACACATTCAGTATGGACTGGGTGGGGACACATTCTGTGGTGCTGACCACTGAGGGTGGTGGCCACAGCTGGGATAGGAAGGCTGGAAGTGGGGTGAGGAACCCTGGCATGGCCCATGGGGGATTGGGCCTGCAGCAGCCGGAAGGTGTCCAGACTGTGCCTGCAGCTGGGCAGTTGTGGGTGGCCTGAGTCTGCCTGGGTCAGGCTTGGAAATCGGGGATGGTCCTTGGTGGGACTGGAGGGCTCACTGCACTCGGCTGGCTGGGGAAGCCTGGAGGAGGCTGGACAGGCCGGCACTGGAGGCGAGACTGGACTGCAGGCACCATCCGAGTGATGGCCTTGGCTCTCACACGCAGGTTTCCCCGCTCTGCAAGCTCCACAGGCTCATGGGGCAGCCCCAGCTCCACTCAGCACCCTTTGCATCCTGTGGTTCTGGCATACCCAGGAAACCACATTTGCCCCCCCACTGTGGCAAAGGCCCATGGTCGTTCGTCATCTGCTCAGGGAGGGGGATTGTGGAGCTGTGTGCCCAGGCACCCTCGCAGCTGCAGGGGTCCTTGGACAGGGGGGCTGGCCCACCCAGAGTGAATCTGAGCGTTGGCCGGGCTCTCCCTGTGCCCTTGGTGCCTCCCTGTGGAGATCACCAACACGAAGGAGTGTTTGGTGCGGTGATGCTGGACGTTGTAGTCCTATCTTTCTAGAGGCCCGGGATTCCACCTCTTCCAGATCAACCCAGGTGACCCAGCACTGACCTTCATCTCGGCGCAGCAGGAAGAATGGCCACAGCCATGCTGCTGTGTGCAGGGCCCTCGTGGAGCCCTGCGTGTTTCTTGTCATTTCAGAGATAATCCACGGACCTGCGAGGGAGAGGATAGTGACAAGCTTATCAGAAATTTTCGTTAGAATTCAGACTTAGCAGGAACCACATTTTGCTCCCTGCTGTCCTGGCCTGAAAGGGCCATTGTCCTGGGGCGTGGCTGATGACTCCTCTACTGCGCACCTGGAGCACCCTCTGATTCGGGAGCTCAGAACCATCTCCCCAGGCTCCAGCTCAAAACCATCTCCCCAGGTCCCAGCTCAGAGACGTCTCCCCAGGCCCCAGCTCAGAGACGTCTCCCCAGGCCCCAGCTCAGAGACATCTCCCCAGGCCCCAGCTCAGAGACATCTCCCCAGGCTCCAGCTCAGAGACATCTCCCCTTGTCCCAGCTCAGAGATAATCTTCCCCCATCCCAGCTCAGAGACATCTCCCAGGTTTCCAGCTCAGAGACATCTCCCGTGGTCCCAGCTCAGAGATAATCTCCCCTGGTCCCAGCTCAGAGACATCTCCCTGGTTTCCAGCTCAGAGACATCTCCCATGGTCCCAGCTCAGAGACATCTCCCTGGTTTCCAGCTCAGAGACATCTCCCCTGGTCCCAGCTCAGAGACGTCTCCCAGGTTTCCAGCTCAGAGACATCTCCCCGGTCCCAGCTTGTGGTGACTTCTGGTTCCTTTCGTGGACCCTTTGACAGCTCACAACTTTGTTGAAGAGATGAATGTTGAAAATGTTCAAAATATTTTCATTTTTAGATGTATGAATACCAATGAAAGTGATCAACCAGGTAGATTTTTTCCTTTTCACATTCTTAGTTTCCTTTCAGTGACCTTCATATCCGCACCATCCATTTACAAACCTTGTCAAGGAAAGTTTGAGCCTCAAATGCCCAAAAGACGGCAGAACGCTGTCACCTTCTTGCTGGCAAAATGCGCCAGTCCCAGTGTGGCTGTGCACACGGCGTGGTGACACCCTTCCCTCCTCAGGGCTCCCGGGGAGGAGCTGCATCTCCTTGCTGTCCTCACTGCCCAGTTCTCAGCGTGAAAGGCACACCGGGCAACCCACATGAAGACGCACGGCCCAAGACTTCACTCAGAGTCCTCCCCCTGCACCCCCCACATTTACCCCCGGACCCATCTGAGTGTGAAACGCCCCCACGTCACTGTTCTGTTCTTTGCCGTTATAGACAACTTCTGAAATCTCTACTCTGTTCACAAAACAAACCAGCTGACAGGATTGCGAAGGTGGCAGGGTGGCATCTCCAGACCCCGTGTGCCCCGGGACGACCATGGGACGCTTTGGCCAAAACAGTGGGCACCGAAAGACCACGCAATCAGGGCCATTTCTTTGACGCGTGCGCCATCCTGCGAGACGACTCCGCCATTCTTCCCTTCCGATATCGTCCTTTTTAGCAGAGTTGGGAATAACCAATGAGCAAGGATGAAATAGTACTGGAATCGTGAAAAAGCAAAATGATTCAAGACATAGGAAAGACCACAGAGACCCAACAGACAACCACAGGATAGAAGGAATTTTCTTTTTTTGGCTTCAATTTTCTCGTTCTTGGAGGAGAGAACCTCCAAGAAAGAATAAAAGTCATGAAATGCTACTCCTTACAAGTAATAAAAACGCTAAGAAAAGAAACTGGAAACTGAACTGGGGTGGGGAGGTGGGGCTGACCTGCAGCAGCCTAGGAGCCCGTGGTGGGGTCAGAGACACCTTCAGTTGGCCTGGGGGGCGCCGAGTGTGGATCCTGCTCACCGTCCTCAAAAAGGAAGCTCCACTCAGGGATAGTTTCATTTTAAAGTCTTCAGAGTTTTCTCTTCTAAGAAGTATGTTTCCACGTTCAATCCTCTTGCATAAAGACAGGTGCCGTGGCCACGTTGCCTTGGCTGAGCACCAGCCTTCATGGCGGGGTGTCCCTTGTACCCCAACCCCGCAACTTCCAGGAGGCTGTGGGGTGCCATGGTTAAACTGGGGCTGTGCTACAAAGCACCACAAAGCTGGTGGCTTAGAACAACAGGAGCATATTCTCCCGCCGTCTAAAAGCAGAAGTGCCAGAACAAAGTGCTGGCCGCATTGGGCTCTTCTGAAAGCTCCCTCGGCCCTCCCGGCTCGTGGTGGGGGCTGTGGCCACATCCTCCTATGGCCTCCTTCATCATTGGCCTTCTCTCCCCCTCTTCGTCTCCTCTTCCCATAGGGACCCTCATCTGGGATTTTAGCTTGAGCATCTGCTTTGTCTCCTCTTCCCATAGGGACCCTCATCCGGGACCTTGAGCATCTGCTACCACCTGTTTCGAAATGAGGTCCCATTCCCGGTACCAGGAGTGAGGACTTCAGCTTGTCTTTTAGGGGATGCAGTTCAACCCACAGGGGGAAGGCGGGGTCCAATCTAGGGACCTGGCACCTTCAACCCTGTCCTCTGTGAAGACTGGGTCTAAAGACTTTCTGCTTCCTGGCGGTTGTCTTTCATTGACCTCCGTTCTGTGCTCCGTGTCCTCAGTGGGTGCCATGGACTTGCTGTTTGTTACTTGTGGCACTGAGGCTACAGGGCTTCCTGCTGTCACAGACATGGGAAGCCCGGGTGCTGTTCCCGTTCCCTCAGTCAGGGACTCACAGCCCACCCATGGCACAGCCCCTGGGGCATCTGGAGTCTCCCGCCCCACTGGGCGCCATGCAGCAGCCCCCTCGTTCCTCAGCCCTGCCTGGCGGGAGCCGTGCATTCCACGTGATCCGTCTCCCCTCCTCTCTTCCAGCTCTGATCCAGTATATACGGCCTGTGTTCGTGTCCCGGTCAGACCAGGATTCTCGCAGGAAAACAGTAGAAGAAATCAAGAGACGGGCGCAGTCCAACGGAAAGTGGCCACAGGTAATGCACGTAGCCCTGATTGTGTTTCAGTGGTTTTATTCCGAAAGATGCGAACTTCGCGAGTGGGGAGAAAGAAACTGGGGCCCTTCCTCCGGGGCTGGATTCTGATTCTCTTCTCCTAGTGAGTGCGTGAACTCAGGAGGGTGCTGTCAGGTGCATTTGGTTTCGGTGCCCGAAATTTAAAGTTAAAGTAAAGAAAAACAATTCTCAAATGCATCTCAGCTTCCTGAATCATCTTTTCTGAACTAAGTTCTGACTCAGATAGAGCATTGCTCACCCGCCCTCCTGGTGCAGTGTGATTTTGGAGTTGATGTGTCAGCCTGCTGTGTGTTGGGTGGTTCTAAAAGTCCTGGAGTAAACTTCCTGGTCTGTATGCTGGTTCCCAGGCATTCAGAAGCCCTGAACCCAGCTGTAGGGGCAGCCTGGCTGACATTAGCTTGGACGCTGTTTTTCTTCTTTCCAGCTGAGCCATCATTAGAAGCTGGAAATTTTACAGAACTGTCTGGGATCTGATTGCTCACGAAGCTTTGCAGGGTCTGGCTGGGGGCAGCCCCTTAGAGGGCTGTGACTTCCAGGGTGCCCCAGCTCTGCCCCCACAAGCACAGGCAGTCTCCTCCCCCACCCATTTGGCCTGCCTGGCCCTGGGCTTGCCAGGGTGAGCCCACGCCGGCCCCCCTGAGGTCTGTCTTCCTCACGGGGCCCAGAACTGAAAGCAGCCTGCGGGGCTGGGAGTTTGAGGGCAGTTTTTGCTACTGCAGGCCAGTGTGAGTCAGAGGAATTGAAACCCCGGTGTGGAGGGTGCTGCCTGACTGGGGCTCGGCTCTCCTGCTCATCCAGCCCGTTGCTGGGGTCCCAGCCCTCCTTCGGCTCCATCAGCCAGGCACTGCCATTTGTGGGTCTTTGCTCTCCTCCCCACCTTCTTCCTGATGAGAATGAGTGCTGCCCCCAGGAGGTGCTTATGTTGTGCCAACCGTGGGTTATATTTAGTTGCACCTGGTTCTCACAGTGTCTGAGAGGTGGGCACCGCGACTACCCTGCTTTCCAGGAGCTGTAGTTGAAGAAGACAGATGCTGTTTATGTGTTGATACTGCTGCCACACTTTAATAAAACCAGCAGAGCGGAAATCAGTGTGTGCTTCCATAATGCATTTTAATAATTTACGTACTGAATATGATCCCAGTGTCCAAATTATGTCAGCAGAAAAGAAAATATATTGTGAAGATTGGCTTCTGTAAGTTCTGAATTATAATTATGTACAGTTTAATGCTGATCCTTTTCTTTCTCCCACTTCCAGATAATGATTTTTCCAGAAGGAACTTGTACAAACAGGACCTGCCTAATTACCTTCAAACCTGGTATGTAGTTTTCTTAAATGTTTATTTTTCTCCTAGAGAAAAGGAAAATATTAAAGAGATGTTTTTTAATAATGTGCTGTGCACATAAGAACAGTTTCTGTTTTTATCCTGTGTGCTGGGGTTCTTAGAGGTATTCCTAAGAAAAGTCACAAAATAAATTTGAGAATGTGAGTCAAGGATTATCATGTTTGCAGGAAGATGGAGAAGTTACGGTTTCAGGGCGTTTCCAGTGAGGTGGAGATAGATGTTTGCCTCTGTTTTGAGGTCCAGGCTGGAGGGTCCTGGGTGCAGAAGGGGTCTCACTGCCTTTGAATGGCTCAGGGTACCCTTCTTGGCCTGCAGCTCACGCCCCACACCCGCCTGGGAATCCCAGGTGCAAATCCCTGCGAGCCATCCTCAGATGCCCAGGTCCCCAGGTCCCCAGTTAGACAGTGTTCTTTCTCCCTGGGGAGGGGGGACTCAAATGCGTGTGAACTTGGGTCTCTCCCGCGGCGGTTACCTGGGTCTAGTATTGTGTCTGCACCCCTGACGTGGGAAGTGTGGCAGTGAGCAGGCAGCAGAGTCCACTGTTCTTTTTGCGCTGAGTCTGTTTGGAATTCTGCACACCCTTGGGCGTGTCAGAGGGTCCACCTGGATCCTGTCGTCTCCCTTGGGCTACTTTAGAAAGTAGTGGCTTTCATCAACTGTGTCCATACTGGGGCATGCAGACCTGTTCTCTGTGGTTGGATCAGAGTCACGTGGAAAAGCCAGTTCCTCGCTCACACTGGCACCGGCTGCCGTGCCTCTGGGGCCGCACAACCTGAGTGTCTGGACATTTATGGGAGCTGGGTCGAGAAAGTGTGCAGTCACTCACCTACGTGTGCCGCCGGGGTTTCCGAGCCTGTGGCCATCCTCCTCCAGCTCAGATGCGCGTGCTTTCAC
The DNA here is from genome assembly GCF_000001405.40 of Homo sapiens. Lineage (NCBI taxonomy): Eukaryota > Metazoa > Chordata > Mammalia > Primates > Hominidae > Homo > Homo sapiens. The sequence continues at coordinate 22,304 of NT_187547.1, forward strand.
CCTCCACCCTCCTTGGTGCAGCAGGCAGATGGCAGGTTTTGCTTCCAGAGGCTTCAAGGTGCAGCTCACTGGAAGGTACTGGGTCTTCCCGTTCCATTGTCTTCACCACGCGTGGTTCTGAGTCATTCTGATCAGAACCAGAGATGCAGAGGGTGGAGGCGGCACGCGGTGACCACGAATCCGTGTGCCCCCACCACACTGGGTCCGTGCCTGGGCGTGGCCTGTGGGCAACCTTGGTGAAGGCCAAAAGTGGGCCGTGTTTCCAAGGCCCCAGGCAGAAGACAGCTGGCAAGTACGTCAGGTCTTGTTCCTTGACAAGGTGTGGGGCTGGGGTCACTGCTGGGCCCTGTCTTCAAGGGCAGGTGTTCCTCGGGAGTGGAGCCTCGTGCCTGCAGGGAGGCCCCTGGGGAGGGCCATCGCCTTGCCCTTTGGAGCTGGCGGCCCTTGTGTAGACGTGAGGAGGGCGTGTGAGCACCTCTCAACGCATATCACGAAACTGAGGGGACTCATGGCGGTGCCCAGTAGGAGCTCACTGTGTGCAGTCCAGGAAGGGCGCTCGCTGTGCCCCAGGTGGGTTCCACGGGGTCTGGGGAGATGACACGGTGGCTTGATCCTTTCCCCGTCTCCATTTCCAGTGGGTCCAGCCATGAGTTCTGCGTGTCACCTGCAGGCCCGGGTTTCCGGCTGCCTCGAGTCACGTGTTCGGAATCTCTCAGGCCCTCATGCGTCTTAGCTGGGTACTTCTTAGTGAGGTTTGGAGCCTCCTGTTTGGAGGTGAAATTGGTGTGTGGTGCGTGATCCTGACGCCTCGTGGTGGAGCCCTCCAGAGCCGTGAGCGTCTCCCGCCTTGAGCCTGACAACAGAGGCACCCACAACCTGCCTGCTGCCTTGGGCTCCAGCTGCCCCAGCTCCATGGCGGCCCACCCACTCAGACCCTCCCTCCACCTTTCATCACATCGCCTGATGTTGGGGTCACGTTGCTGGGGTCACCCGTTTGGGCACCACTGCTGACTCCCCGCCTTCATCCCCGGAGACCTTCCCGCATTGGGCCCAGCCTCCAGCCTCAGGCTCCTGGAGCCTCCAGCAGGGTCCTCCTGGGCCCAGGTGCCTTCTTTCTCCTGAGTGTCTCTTGTCTGTGCTGCACTGTCCACCTGAGTCCCCCTGTTCTGACCCAGGCCAGGGGTGCCGCCTCTGAGGTGGGGGTGATAGAGCTCAGCAGAGCCCTGTGGGGTCTGCTGGATGTGGTGGGTTCCAGCAGGGCTGGGACCCTCAGGGCTCTGCAGGGATTGAGTTGCTCCTGAAACAGGCCCATGTGGGGCCTTCCTCTCCAGTGCCCACACTCACCCTCCTTGTCAGAGGGCACTAGAGCAGGATCGGCTGACTGGGTACCTGGAGACCCCTCCTGGAAGGTCCTGGGCCCACGCCCTCCACATGCCCACACCCCACCTGCCTGCCAGCTCCAAGCTCTCAGAGCAGAACGAAGACAGTGAGAAGGCCCTAGGATGCTGCGTGGGCCCAGCGATGGCACTGACAGCCCGAGGATGCAGAGGCGGGCCTACCAAATGTGGCTGTTGGAAGTGGACGCAGCTCTCACTGGGCCACAGTGGCCTCCCTGCACGGGCTGTGAACAGACATGGATGTGGCTGTCCCTGGCCTCCCTGCACGGGCTGTGAGCAGACATGGATGTGGCTCTCCCCGGCCTCCCTGCACGGGCTGTGAGCAAACATGGATGTGGCTGTCCCTGGGCCGCAGCGGCCTCCCTGCACAGGCTGTGAGCAGATGTGGACACGGCTCTCCCTGGGCCATGGTGGACTGTTTCTTCCTGTGGGGTGGGCTGTGGGGGATGGTCAGGGTGAATAAGGGGTGATGGCCTTCTGGGGGCCTCAGGGGTCCCTGTTGAGCCATCTTCCAGCCTCATTGTTGCAACTAGTGACGTTAGACCCATGCCCAGCACAAGCTATGTGTGAATATGGAGGTTTCTGTGCAGTTTAGAAGCCCGTACCTCCTCCCCTCTGCCTTGTTCCTGCATTCAGAAGCCCTGGGCTCTGACTGCCTCATCTTGGTTTCTCCCAGCCTGGCCCTTGTGCAGCCTGCCTTGGGTGCACAGTGCTGGCGGGGTCTGGGTGCTGCTGACCCTCAGGGGCCCCTGGGAGACTAGGGAGGCCAGAGACCCCTGCAGACTTTCCCACCGGGGTTTCCATGAAGTCACTGACCTTTCAGGCTCATGGGGGGTTTCTGTGCTCTTGGGGACTTTCCTGAGAGGTCCCCAGGGTGTTGAGGTTTCCTTTGATTCTTACTGAGTTTCAGTGATGTCCCCTTGACACATGGTCGGGATGGTCGGCTGAGCTGTAGCAGCAGAGCCATTATCACCCACAGCAGGTCTCGGCACTCCACGCGAGCTCCTGGGCTCGGTCCCAGGCAATGAGGACTATTTCCTCCACACTGCGTGTCTCAGGGGCTGGGACTCGGCTGCCGGGCGTTGGAGCTGGGGCTTGAGCCTGGGTCTGTGCCAGCCCTGCCGTCCTCCGCCTCCCCTGACACAGCCACCCGTCCACCTGGGCACACAGAAGTGCTGGGTGAACTGCATGAGCTTGCTCCCAGGTGCTGCTGAGCCCACAGCAGGAAGGGGGCAACCCAGCCCTGGACACAGGGGAAGCTGCGGCACACGGGCCCAGGGACTTGGGGTGCCAGCTGGACACCAAGGCTGCAGGTGGATGTCCTGCATGAGACGAAAGCTGAGTGGGTTGGGCGGTCAGCTCGAGGTTTCAGCCCTGACACGGGCCTCTGGCCTCAGGCCACCGTGAAGGGAGAATTGGCCCTAGGGACAGATGCTCCTGGCAGCCCTAGGGGCAAGCATGGGCTCCATTCTCCCAGAATTGTGCAGAATCCCGCAGCCAGGACCAACCGCAAATTCCTGACCACATAGTGGCACTCGCTGGCAGCCTGGGAGGAACGCGCTGCCTGGGGATTCACTCGCCTGGCCTCAGGTCGCCAGGCAGGGGAGCCCTTCTCAGACCGCCTGTCCTGTTCTAAAACTTGAGTACTTCTGATGCCTGAGTTTTCCAGTTAAAAAAAAACTCTTTCAATAGAGATTTAAATAGAATTTAAAATAGAAACAATCATCCACAGAGTCCATGGTGCCTTGCTCCAGCCCGCAAGGGCACAACTCCGGCCAGTGAGAAGGCGGAGCGGCTGCTGGGTACAGCCACAATTCCAGTGGGAACGGGGAAGTTCCTGAGCCTCTGCGGCCTGTGGCTCTAGCTGGGCCTCGCTGGGGCTCCTCCTGATTCCTTGGGAGCCCATCAGGTGGCAGCCACTCAGAGAGAGAGGCAGATCCCGGGCAAGTCCTGCTGCAGCTGTGACCAAATCCGCCCGTCCTTGGAGCTGAGCCCCAGGGGCAGGTGAGGGCGGCGGGTGGGGCCCCGAGGCAGGTGTATGTGCTTGGTGAGGGCAGACCCTAACCCCGTCAGGTGGGTGAGCATTGGCCGGTGATGAGGACCCCCACTTCCCACCAACGCCTTCCAGCTGGTGCGCGATGTTACAGCAGAAAGTGTCCCTCCACGGATGTCTTCCAGCTCGTGCGCAATGTTATAATAGCAAGTGTCCCTCCACAGACGCCTTCCAGCTGGTGCGCGATGTTACAGCAGAAAGTGTCCCTCCACGGATGTCTTCCAGCTCGTGCGCAATGTTATAATAGCAAGTGTCCCTCCACAGACGCCTTCCAGCTCGTGCGCGATGTTAAAACAGAAAGTGTTCCTTGGCCGGGGAGCGCCCCTGGCCGATGTTCCTGCCCATCCGTGCTGTGGCGCTGGGTGTTTACGGTCAGGACAGATGTTGAGATAGTCCAGGCATGGAGTGCCCTTGCTGACCAGGAAGGCCTAGACAGAAAAGCTCACTTTTATCCCAAGGGCAGCATGAGAAACGCAGCAGACGCTGTCCTGCGTGGGCTGCCATGGGCAACACCGCTGTTCCTTTCTCGGCAGGTGCATTCATCCCTGGAGCGCCCGTCCAGCCTGTGGTTTTACGATATCCAAATAAACTGGTGAGTTGTGTTTTTTTGGGGTCAGCTTCCAGGGGAATTCTCCGGGAAACGGGAACTGCGAGCTGCCTCTGTGCACCTGTGTCTCTGTCTCTCCACACCCTTTATCTGCGCCACAGCCCACACTTGGCCATGCTGAGTCCATCCGGCCTCAGCGCTGGAGAGGGCAGGACAGGCCCGGGCCCTGGGCTCGGCACGTTCCTGAGTGCGGCCTGTTCTATGCACGTGTCCCTGATCAACCCCATGATTCCACAGTGGTCCCCAGTGTTCCAGAGCCCTGCTTCCATAGCTCCTGACAAAGCTGCCCTTTCCTCTGTGTGCCAAACCTGACATTTTGGAGAGGGAACCCCTCCACCCCACATCACCGGCCAGGGCCCCCAGCAGCTTTCAGTACCCAGTTCATGCTCCAGGAAGTTTAAAAATTAAGAACATTTAAGTTCTGGAAGGCGGAGGCAGCTGGAGAGAAAGGAGGTGACTTTGTCATTTCTGTGGTTTTATCATTTAGTGCCCAGGTTTTGTTTGGTTTAAGAGAATTAAGAAGGTGTTTGGGGTCCAGAGCTCCTGGGGCGAAGGTGGTAGACCCCACCTTTGGGAGAAAGTCTGGACGAGGCCTCAGAGCAGTTCCCCATGGGGCCTTGCCACCTCTGGAGGAGGCTTAGCCTGCCCTGGCTCTGCCCCAGCCCACCACACCACACCCCACCCCACCCCACCCCAGCCTGCCCTGGCCCATCACACCCCACCCCCCTGCCCCACCCTACTCCCCCCATCCCAGCCCACCCCGGCTCTGCCCCACCCCAGCCCACCCCAGCCTGCCCTGGCTCTGCCCCACCCTACCCCACCCCACCCTGCCCTGGCTCTGCCCCACCCTACCCCACCCCACCCTGCCCTGGCTCTGCCCCACCCCACCCCACCCCAGCCCACCCCACCCCACCCCAGCCTGCCCTGGCTCTGCCCCGCCCCACCCCACCCTGACCCAGGCCCTGCTCCATCCCTGCCCCTGGCCGCAGCCCCACCCCCTGGCCCCGCCCCTGCCCATGTCCTGCCTCAGTTTCCACACCTGTAAGGTGGCTGCTGCACCTTCCTCCAGGTGCTCTTGGATGCTCAGAATACTTCCGGTTCCATCGGCCCTCCCCACTTAGGCGACCTTGCCTCACAGGCCTGCCGCCGAGCTCAGGGCATTCATTTGGTGCCAGCTGTGTTCCCCCTTCCACAGCAATGACTCCCGCACGTCCTTGCCCCTTCATGGGCTCCTGGAGCATAAAGACGGCCCAGGTGGACTCAAGGTCCCCACAGCCCACTGGTGCTGGGCTCACTGCAGGTTCCTGGTGGAGCACCCACCTGGGAGAGCACCGAGGAGGGCCTGCCCATCACAGCGAGCTTCCCGTCTATAGCAGTTCCTTTTTGTGATGGCAAAGGAAAGCACTGAAAGAAAACCCCCGTGGGTCAGGACATAGTGGGGCAGAAATACAGGTGACCTCTGGGTGCCAGGGTTCTGGGCCATCCGCCTCAGGGCCTGTCCCGTCCGATGCCTGCCGGGCTTCACTTTGCCCGGAGAGCTGACGGTCAGGTAATAAAATGGAGTCAGGGCCGGTAGTCACACGACTGAAAGACCTCTTCCTTCTTACTGAGGCGTGCGTTTGTCAGCCAGGCTCCTGGCCAAGGGCCCCTTCCTGCCTCCGCTGCGGAAACCATGCCCCAGTGCAACTCCTGTGGGCAAAAAAGTCAACCCGAGGACAACAGACTCCGATCTGTGCAGTCATCTAGATTTTCCACTTTTAAGATTGTTTCATCAGTGTGTTTAAAGCAACACACTATTACTGGATGCACCAAGAAGCACTAGCTTAGCCGTCAGGGGAGCAGAAGGTCCACCCCAGGGTGACGGTGTCTGGGCCTCTGCCGTCACGGCCCCTGCTGTGTGGTCCCTGCCCGGCGGCACTGAGGCTGAAGATGGGACTTCAGAGCACCCGGGGTGGGGGGGCCCTGCACATGCACCGTGGTTGGGGGAACACTCAGAGCAGTTGGAGAGAGCGGTGGGCAGGAGAGGGCCGGGGTCCCGGGTGCACACTGGAATTGGTGTCCCCAGGTCTGTGAGGAAAGCGGAGAGCATGGAGGGAGGGAGGACCCTTTTCCCAGGTTCTAGGGGCTCTGGGAACCTATAAGAGGGGGCTCTGAGTCCTCAGGGACTCTGGGGATCTTGGGGGAACTCTGGGGACCTGTAAGGTGGTGGTTCTCTGGGTCCTTAGAGGCTCTGGGGACCTCAGGCTGGGGGGCTGGTCCGAGTCCTGGATCCTCAGGGACTCTGGGAAGCTGGAGCTCTAGCACCCTCCTCCCTTCCCCCTGGCTGCAGCGCCTCTGTGGGGTGGGAGGTGCAGGGAGAGGCCGGCACACGCAGGTGCTTGGTGCAGGCCCTGGGTGCAGGCCCCATGCTGACTGACCCTGCCTCTTCCTCCCCAGGACACCATCACATGGACGTGGCAAGGACCTGGAGCGTAAGTTGAACGCCGTGTCGTCCTCTTTGTCCTGTTGTTCCATGAACACGTAGGGGCTGCTTGGGGTCTGCTGTGCACGCTAGTTACTTTTGCAGTTGTGAAAGCAGGTGTGGGACAGCCGTTAGGTTCAGCCCATTGTGAAAACTAAACGTACAGATGTGGCCCAGGCCTGACACTCCTGGATTCTGGGGTCTTAAGTTGCACGTCTTCAGTACCAGCAGGAAGGGAACTGTGAGTCTTGCATTCGGCTCTCGAGTTTGCCAGCTCAGTAATTACGATCGTCCACCTGGTGGCCCCTGGTAAGGAAAGTGGAGATTTAGGGGTGTCTGGGGGGACCCCGTCTGCACAGGCACAGAGACTGAGTAGTGCTGGGTGGGAGGCCAGCCCCTGCTGTGAGTCAGTGTCCCTGTCCCCCCAGCAGAGACACCGAAGGTCAGTTATGCAACAATGAACAACCCCACGGAAACGGGAACGAGCCCCAGAGGAGAAGCCCGGGGCCACAGGCTGGTCAGGGCCTCCTGGGTGCTGACGTCTGAGCTGACGTCGGGAGGGCAGAGGGAGCGGGAAAGTCCAAGAGAGAGCAGCTCCATTCCAGGCGTTTGGGAGGATGTGGGTCCGCTGGTGCTTTCAGGTGAAGGTGTTGAGGTCAGCGCTTCCCAGGCTGGCGTGTGGAGGCTCCCAGCTGGGAGCAGAGCTGGGAGGGGGCTCTGGGGGGTATAGGGGTTCTGGGGTCCCGGGGGCCTAGGGCTGGGGCTGGCATGACAGGGCAGAAAGAGGGTTGGGGCACTGGGCTGTCGGAGGCGTGAGTGTGGCCCTGGGAGCAGCTCCAAATGTCTCCCATGTCAACTCCTGCGGCAAAGGCATGGTGATCCTGGTTCTGAGGTTGGGAACTCTGGATCCAGGCTGGAGGGGTGGCATGACTCAGGGCCTGTGCTGCCTGGGGACAGCGAGGAGGGACAGGTGTGGAGGGACAGGTGTGGGCTGTACGAGGTCTCCTGAGCTGGAGAACAAGCAGGAGATGGTGTCTTGCTAGACGAACCAAGGACATAAGCAGGTGTTGAATCGGAAAAGCAGCATTTCCACCCACGGCTGTACGTCACACTGGGGCTCGGGCTGGGTGGGCACGGCACCCCCTCCGTGGGAGCGTTGACTGCCCAGTAGCGCCCTCTGGAGGGCGCGTCTGGAGGTTTCACCCCAGAATTGGGAGTAATTTACTTGTTAACCCGAGTTGTAAATCTGCTCAACATTGTGCAATCTGTTTTTAAGGCTGGAAATCCTGTGGCTCACGCTGTGTCAGTTTCACAACCAAGTGGAAATCGAGGTTCGTATGGATACAGAGTTACACAGCGCTCTTCACAGTGGTTGATGCAGACACGAGCTTACACCAGGATGCCCAGATAAGCCTTGTACAATGTGGCATATCACCTGTCTTGCTTTCCCATCTTTCCGTTTCTCAGGGCTCCTTCGAGGAGCCTCTGGTTGCTTTACCTCAATGACTTTATGTCTCTCTTATGAGTCTGAACCACTTGGATAAGATTTGGGTTTTTGTTTTTTGTTTTTCTGAGACAGCATTTTGTCTTGCTCTGTTGCCCAGGCTGGAGTGTAGCGATGGGCTCACTGCAGCCTCGACCTCCTGGGCCCAAGTGATCTCCCTGCCTCAGCCTCCCACGTAATTGGACCACAGGCACACGCCATGCCTAGCTAATTTTTGTAGAGATGGGTCTCACTTTGTTGCCTAGGCTGGTCTCAAACTCCTGGGCTCAAGCAGTCCTCCCGCCTTGGCCTCCTAAAGTGCGGGGATCACAGGCGTGAACTACCACACCCAGCTGGAAAGGATTTTTTAAACCTACCATTCATTATTATGGGTATTGTAGCTTAAGGACATATGAAGCTGGCCCACATGCAAATAATTATTTGTTTGGCTCTTAGTTTTACTTTACATATTTAATACCGCTGAGTTTGTCATAGCACCATGCTCTGTTTAATACATAGTCAAAGATCCCCCTTCTCAGCCTGACCCAGGTCTCCAGAGTCAAGACCTTGGGCTAAATAGTCACCTCTGTGTAGCCTGCACAATTTTTTCTAAGTCGATGAGGAGTAGTTCTTTTTTTGTTTAAAAGGGGAATTAATATGCACTTCTTGCATCTGGAAATAAAAGATGAGTCACATGCAACTTAAATATTTAATAAAACAATTTGCTGCCTTCCAGTAAATATTGGAGAGCACTACGAAATATACTGATAAGCCCGGCTTTCAGCCCGGCTGTTCACTTCCATAGAGGATAAGCTGCTCTCATTACAGAGGACTGGGCTGAAGGGCCTTGGCCCGGGCCTGAGGGCGGCAGTTCCCCCACCCAGCAGGATTATGTGGCTGGATGGGCAGTGGCCGGGAGGGTGCAGGCCAGGCCTCGAGCACAGAACACAGGGACTGAGCTTGAGCTCCTGAGGGCTCCCTGGTGTTGAATGGCTGTGTTACAGGCCTGGTTTCTAATTTTAAGAGTTGAAAAGAAAGTGAATGGCTGTGCAAAACTGCTCTGTCCTTACTGACGTTGTTCATACAAGATGCAAATGTTGATGCAAGGAACCATGGCAGTTTACGGAAGTTTTAGAAATAACAGCGAGAATTGGGGTTTCAGGATGTTCCTGTATTCTGAAATATTCCGTATTAGAGAAAAGGACATCCAGGGTAGTCTTGTGCCCTTTCCTGCACGGTGTGCAATGTGGGTCATATTCATTTAAAATGCTGTGTAAGTGTCACTCAGGCAAGGACAAATTCACTGGACAATTTCTTTTAGTTTCAAAATGCAAGAGGTGGCAAAACGCTGCCAATAATCTGTTCCAAATGTAGGAATAACGTGCTGCATTATCCCCATTACAAAACTGATGCTGTCAGAAATGGGCGTAAGCCCCTCTGTGAGATCAGGGAGCTGGATGTTCTGATGTAGGCAGCAGGAGCTCCTAGGAGCACTGACGGGGGTGAGTGTAGATCAGAGAGCCAGATGTTCTGATGTAGGCAGCAGGCGCTCCCAGGAGCACTGACGGGGGTGAGTGTAGATCAGAGAGCCAGATGTTCTGATGTAGGCAGCAGGCGCTCCCAGGAGCACTGACGGGGGTGAGTGTAGATCAGAGAGCCAGATGTTCTGATGTAGGCAGCAGGCGCTCCCAGGAGCACTGACGGGGGTGAGTGTAGATCAGAGAGCCAGATGTTCTGATGTAGGCAGCAGGTGCTCCCAGGGAGCACCAATGAGGGTGAGTGTTCAGGTGCACACGTGTGCAGTTCATGCATCATGGGGGTGTGTGTGTGCGTACACACACGTGCACATGACAACTTTGAAGACGGTTCTAATGGGCGTTACTTTGACAGATCTTAATTTTGTCAGCCTCCCAGTTGTCGTTACAGTGGTGTTGCTGAGGTCAGCGTCTTGTGATACTAACGCAGCTTCTCTGTGTGCTCAGTTCCTTCCTGTGTACAGCCCTTCTGAGGAGGAGAAGAGGAACCCCGCGCTGTATGCCAGCAACGTGCGGCGAGTCATGGCCGAGTAAGTGAGCAGCTCCTTCCCCCATCGCCGAGTCAGGGGTGTCTCCCAGAGTGCTGCTCTCTGTATATTTAAAATAGGCAACAGCGTTAGGAAAAGGCATTCTTGCAGAAGTGCGGGAACCAGCTTCATGCATGTTGGTGAAGCGTGCTTGGCCTTGTGCTGTGCGCCCCTTGTTTCCCTCTGATGGCATTTCACCCTCTTTGACGTTGGGAAGATGCATGACTGGTTCTTCCAGACCTGCCTGCAGCCGTTGGTCACCCCAGGTCCTATGTTTCCTGTGCCCTAAATGAGCCAGCGGGGCGCTGGCCTGGGCCAACTTCACATCTGTGCGGCGGCCTCCACGCCTACCTTTGCTCATCTGCCTGTGTGATACTTACCGGTGCCCTTACTCTATCTGGCAGAGTGGAGTGGTGGTTGCACATTTAATCTTGTAAGGTGACTTGTGCTGCTTACACAGTTGTCGTGCATGCAGTTAGGAAGAGGGAATGTCCTCGCTTCCCATGGTCCCAGGTCCCCTGCTTGCATGGCCGGCAGTGCTGTCGGCTCACACGCCCTCCCCCTCTCCCTCCCTCGGTGTCGTCAGCTCACACGCCCTCCCCATCTCCCTCCCTCAGCACCTTCCATCCCTCAGGTCCCATTCCCCCCACACTTGTCCTTGCAACCAGGTCCTCCCACCTGGATTTACCCCCACGTGAATGCCTCCCTAGTGCTTCCTCCTGCAAAGCTCTGTCCAGTGGAGCTAGAGCCTCCCCTCCACCGGGCGGCTGCCAGACCTGAGCTGCAGGAGCCACTTGGAAGCCACATCAGCCTCGGTCCACCGGCCCCACCCCCAGGCTCCTGCTGCAGCAGGTCGGGGCATGGCTGGGAACTCGCCTCTCCAGAGAGCCCAGAGGGGAACACAGCCACGGCCGGGCCCATCAGAGTGTGCCTGGCTCTGACCTCCGAGCCACTTTGTTCACACTCCGCTGACACCCTGAAGATTCAGCTGGGCGGCCCGTTCCCTCACGTTCCCATCCTCTCCCTCCCAAAGCATGTGTCCGAGGGTAGAAATGGGCCCGGCAGTCTCTGTCCCGCAAAGCTCCACTCAACCCCCACCACAGGCAGCTCTGAACAATACAAAAAGCTGAGTAGGCGCCGAGCCAGGGGAATGCATTCCCACCTCCAAGCCCAGCACCTGTGCTCCGGACTGCTGCCAATACTGGCTACTTTTGGGGACTTAGGAGGAAGAGAACAGATTTTACAGCGCTCAAGGAGAGATCGCCTGTGGGCCTCACTGATTATTTTAGAACCCTCCATTTCAAACAGACTCCGAGGAACTTGTACTTTTTTTAGGGTACGAGAGTGCTGCCATTTCCATTGTAGTAATTCAGAATTCTCTTAAAACCCCACTCCAAATTACCGGGAACCATGTTTCATCACATCAGGGCCGTTGGAGGGTCTGCCACCGTCAGCAAAACCCCCCACCAAGGAACATGGGAGGGAGAAGCAGCCTCGGACTCCTGGGCCTGGGCGGGGCCTGTGCAGCCCCACTCGGAGTGGAGATGGGAGGGAGAAGCAGCCTCGGACTCCTGGGCCTGGGCGGGGCCGTGCAGCCCCACTCGGAGTGGAGATGGGAGGGAGAAGCAGCCTCGGACTCCTGGGCCTGGGCGGGGCCGTGCAGCCCCACTCGGGGAGTGGAGTTGATCATGAGCAGAGGGACCCTGGCAGCGCCTCCTCCCGGCTGGTTTCCCACTCCCGTAGTGGGTCCTAGGAGGCAGTGTTGGAAGCACGTTCTCCTCCCCTGCCCGCTGCAAGGATGGTGGCACCCCAGGGTGGCAGAGCGCACACATCCTTCCTCGACCTTGGTTTTCATCTGGGATGGGGCTCGCCTCTGAGTCATTTGGGGTTCTGAGTTGAATGGCACGTGTGCAGTGCTGGCCTGGAGAGAGGTGCCACCCAGGACGGGCCATCAGGAGAGGCCGGGGATGGCCCCAGGTGTGGCTGGCGGAGGTGGGTGGTTCTCCCAGCCAGGGCTCCTGGTCCCTGGCTCACCTGGAGTCACACGTGGCGGGGCCAGGACTGCTGTGAGCTTCACAGGCAGCCGCTCAGTTGGGCCTTGTCCTTTCCTGTGGATAGCCTGAGACTCTCCTGTTCCAAATGATGATGCCTAAGTTTGCCAAGGGGAACTTCAGCGGCTCTCAACTAGGACTAGAGAGGCACCGATTTCTCATCACCTGAGCACACACGGCACGGTCAGAGCAGCTCTGGGAGTGAGGGCACAGCCCGCCTCACTCTGCTTCATCCTGTGCTTCACAGACAGTTGCTTCACGTTTGTGGCAACCCTGTGTTGAGCAAGCCTATTAGCACCGTTTTCCAGCACTGTGAGCTCACTTTGGCGTCTCTGGGTCACATGTTGGTAATTCTCGCACCATGAGCTCACTTCGTGTCTCCACGTCACATGTTGGTAATTCTCACGCTGTTTCAAACTTTTTCACGATTCTCACGTGATGGCAGTCTGTGTCAGTGACCTTTGGTGTGGCTGCCGTCATCGTTTCAGAGCACCCACGAGAGGTGAAGCTGATCGATGAATGTGTGACTGCCCCACCAACTGGCCCTTCCCCTGTCTCACTGCCTCTCCTCAGCCCTCCTCTCCCCTGAGCCATCGGCGGTTATTCTGGTGGGGCGGTGGGAACTGGCTGCCACGAGGCTGGGCTGACGGGGGTGCTGCCCTCCTTGTAGGGCCTTGGGTGTCTCCGTGACTGACTACACGTTCGAGGACTGCCAGCTGGCCCTGGCGGAAGGACAGCTCCGTCTCCCCGCTGACACTTGCCTTTTAGAATTTGCCAGGCTCGTGCGGGGCCTCGGGTGAGTACCTGGTTCTTCTTCCTTGAGCATTAGCTAGAACCCGTGATGCCGAGGTCTGGCGGGGGCTGCCTGGGGTTGCAGGGAGGGGAACTGAGGAGATAATTATTAATTATTCTGGCTTTTTTCAAATATCAACTTAAGCCCACATAGTGTCTTTCAATCCCTTAATGCTGGCATCAGCTGTCTGTGGACGGCGCCCCAGGAGGGCCACCCTGTGTCCTGCCACATCTGCCCTGGGAAGGGAACGGGTCTCAGGGGCACAGGCACCTGGCTTGACACTTGGACAGAACACATCTCGCACCTTCCAATTAGGAGAATGCCTTTTCTTGAAAACTAGCTTGCTGCTACTTCTGTCAATTTTAATATTTTGATGAGTCTTAGAAGTAAATCTGGTGTTAGCATGCCACCATTTTATTGAAAAAGAAAGCTTTCCCTCTTTTTTTGTCTAGGCTAAAACCAGAAAAGCTTGAAAAAGATCTGGACAGATACTCAGAAAGAGCCAGGATGAAGGGAGGAGAGAAGATAGGTATTGCGGAGTTTGCCGCCTCCCTGGAAGTCCCCGTTTCTGACTTGCTGGAAGACATGTTTTCACTGTTCGACGAGGTAGGGCCTGTCGCCTGCGGAGCGGGGTGTCGGCAAAACCTCCTGCTTTTTGAAGCATAAATTGTTCTCATTCTAATATAAATATATTTTCACATGAATTTGAAAGCAGAGAAGGAAAACCACCCATCACCACCCCACCCTATCATTTTGAGGTATTTCCTTCCATGCTTTTAAATACGCGTACACATTTGACGTTTAAATTACCCTTCACTGATGAATGTGCCTGTGGTTTGGGGTTTTTCAGTGTGATTACGGAGTCTAACAATATCAAACTGTGACACCCAGCCTGGGGTCTCCAAGGGACCCCCTGCAGGGTCCCCTGCTCACCAGAGCTGCTCTTTGCAGCGTCAGAGTTTCTAATAACACGCCCGTCCTCTATGATCGGCTTAGAGGCTCCCCGCCAGCCTGTGGGTGTGGGAGGGCTTCCTCCTGGTGCAGCCGCCCACTCCCCTCTGCCCTCCGCACGTCATCCCCAGGTCCTCGTCGTAATTGATGAGGCATCCACGGTCACACCAGGTGGCCCTGAACATGGCGGGCAGCCTCGGGGTTTTAGGAAGGTGCGAGGTGGCACGCAGGGGCGGGACAGGCTGCCACGGCGAGCCACAGGTCAGCCAATCCTGGTCTTTTCTGGGTGTTAGTGTCACAGCATGGACACTTACACTGTGGTCCTGGAGGAGCTGGTGATACGCCAGGGTGTGTGTAGAAGGCTCCTTCAGCCATGACTGTCCCGTGACAGCATGAGATGTCCCGTGTGACAGCACCATATATGTTTTGCACCAACACGGAGCAGCTGCAGTGCAGTCCTGGGTGGAACCCGGGCTGGCAGGAGGCCTCTCTGGCCAGAGAGCAGGTGAGGAGCACTCAGGACAGGGGGAGGACTCTGGCCAGAGAGCAGGAGGAGCAGGAGAGAGGAGAGAGGAGCACCCAGAGGCAAAGGAAGGACTCCCTGGTTGGAGAGAGCAAGAGAAGATGAGGAGCACCCAGGACAGGGGAAGGAGGCTGCCCCGCAAGTATGCAGAGTGTGAACCAAGGATCACAGTGCGTGGCTCAGGGCATTCTCCCACACGCACCAGAGGGGCCCCCAGCCACGGGCCCTCTGCTACAGGGCAGCTGGAAACAGTGTCTCGGATGCGAGTCCTGCCTAGTGTCCGTAAGGGGCCCCCAGCCGCGGGCCCTCTACTACGAGGCAGCTGCAAACAGCGTCTCGGATGCGAGTCCCTCCTGGTGTCCGTGCCACATCTGCAGCTGCGTTTGCACTCAGGCGCTTTACCACAGTGTTGGAATTGAAACGTGAAATGGTGAATACTGGTTTCACAGGCAGCATTCCTGGTTTCACAGGCAGCGTTCCGAGGTAACTTATGACACTGTGCAGTTAATTTTTTATTTTCTGCAATTTCAGATGCACATGATCTTATGAGATAGGAGTATTCTCCATTTACACCCAGGACCTCAGACCCCCAGCCCGAGACCTTCCCAGAGCCAGGGACTTGTAGTCATTTCCACCTGCCAGACACCCAAGCCCCAGTCCCAGTACCCCATGCCTTGCAAGGGGTGTGGCGTAGCACAAAGAAAGCTATCAGTTCCCTCAGAAGACCTTCAGGGACCTGTGTGCGTCTCACCCCTAGCACCTACAGCCTGTGGTTGACACAAGCGTAGAGGGGCAACTACTGGTCAAAGTCCTCCCTCTGCCCCTGGGTGCTCCTCACCCCCAGCTCTCTGAACAGGGAGTCCTCCCTCCGCCCCTGGGTGCTCCTCACCTCGCCTCCTCCTGCTCTGACCAGAGTTCTCCCTCTGCCCTTGGGTGCTCCTCACCTGCTCTCTGGCCAGAGTCCTCCCCCATCCTGGGTGCTCATTATCTCCTGCTCTCTGATCAGGGAGTCCTTCTGCCCCGGGTGCTCCTCACCTCACTTCCTCCTGCTCTCTGACCAGAGCGTCCTCCCTCTGCTCCTGAGTGCTCCTCACCTCCTGCTGCCTGGCCAGAGTCCTCCCCCTGTCCTGGGTGCTCCTCACCTCCTGCTCTCTGGCCAAAATTCTTCCCCTCTCCTGGGTGCTCCTCATCTTCTCTTGCTCTCTCCAGCCAGGGAGTCCTTCCTTTGCCTCTGGGTGCTCCTCACCTCCTGCTCTCTGGCCAGAGTCCTCCCCCTGTCCTGAGTGCTTCTCACTTGCTGTCTGGCCAGAGTCCTCCCCCCTATCCTGTGTGCTCCCCACCTTCTCTTGTTCTCTCCAACCTGGGAGCCCTCCCTCTACCCCTGGATGCTCCTGCTGCTCTCTTCCTGGAACCTCCTCCTGCTCTCTGACCAGGGAGTCCTCCCTCCACTCCTGGTTGCCCTTCATCTCCTGCTGTCTGACCAGAGAGTCTTCCCCCTGTCCAGGGTGCTCCTCACCTCCTCCCGCCCTGACCTGGGAGGTTCTTTCCTGTGGCCTGGGCACACCCTGCAGCCACGTGCAGACTGTCCCCATCGTCATCAGAAGTGCAGACCCTGTCAGCCCCCACCTGTGCCTCTCACCACCCTGCTCACTCACATCAGCATGTCCCTGGAGACTCTGGGTGTGAGGAGTTACTGAGAATGGTCAGCGCGGGGCTGACTGGCTTCCACAGCTGGCCCGGGCTGCTGTTTAGCTCCACGTCACAGCTCCGGGTTCACCTTCTTTCTGCAGGATGAATGGGTTGCCATAAACAGACCAAATTCCTAGAGCCCAGAATCAGCCTTGGTGCTTAGGGGGTATTCTCAAATGCAGGTCTTGGCAGGTGGCAGGCATTGCATCGCGTGTGCTTTGCTGAGGTGCTTCCTGTGGCAGCCTTGTGAACTTTGGGAAGTCACTGTAATGGCCCCAAGAAGTGTACACAGCACAGTGACCTTGGAGAACCCACTTGGTGGAATGTCCTTCCAAGATTCCCTTTTCACATGGGCAGATGTTCCCGAGTGAGAGTGGGACTGGCCTTTAATTAACACCAGCACCCATGGGAAACCCTGGCGTTTCTCCAGTGCCGAAGGCGGCCGAGCTGTGGCTGAGAGCGTCTCTCCCCACAGAGCGGCAGCGGCGAGGTGGACCTGCGAGAGTGTGTGGTTGCCCTGTCTGTCGTCTGCCGGCCGGCCCGGACCCTGGACACCATCCAGCTGGCTTTCAAGGTGAGTGCAGAGTTCACATGGGTTTGACTGGGGGACAGGGCGGTGCAGTCACGTCAGCACCATTGTTCATTTCTCTAGTTCCTTATAATATCAGTTAATTGATCATTTGCCCAACTGCTATTTTTACGTAAGCTTTTTATGCTAGCTGTTGTTTGTAAAATGCCCAGAAAACTCCCAGATTTATTTCTTCCTGGATTAGCAATCCACACTCATCAGAAAGCATGGCTGAGGTTCTTCCTGGGTCCTGGGGCACCTGGGTGGGGCTGGTGGTGTCACACACCATCACACACTACAGGGCACCTAACACAGGGGCCACACACCTTGTCCTCTCTCCCCCTCAGACTGGACTGGTGAAGAAAGCACGGCTTAGGAGCTGCCCACCTCAGCTAACCCCAGGGGCTACAACATGTCAGAGCCCAGTCATCACCACTGGGGGAGTCTGGGGTCCCAGCCCAGCTGCAGACTCCTGGGAAGCCCTCAGGACTTGCCTCACCACAGGGAGTCGCTGCTCCCTGGGGGCTGAGTGGGGTCTGGGTCAGGCCTGGAGGGCGGGAGGCCAGGTAACCCTGAGGGTTTGGCCTGGCCTATTCTGAGGCTCCAGCAGCACCAATGTGGATTTCATCTGGGATAGAGCTGGGCCGGCTTTGCCTGTACAGAGGCACAACTTTACCAAGGCTTCTCACAGGGTGTGACTCACATTAGCCAGACTCTCAAGGGCCTGATGTGTGAGTCAAGAAGCTGCATGTCTCTCACCGCTCCAAGAACTCCCTTCTCTTGCTTCTGATGCCAGCACACCCTCTCCATAGCAACACTGGGGAATGTCCCCACATGAAAAGGTGGCTTGTGGGGGTCTCCCCAGGCAGGATGAACTCGATGACCTCAACATTTGGCAGCTCTGTGTAAGAAAGCCTGACCTCCCTGCCTCCTCCAGGCCTGGGCAGCCTGCCTCCTAGGGCCCCTGATCTGAGCCAGGCCCTGTGGCCCTGCGGCCCCTGCTGGCCCTGCTTTCACTGTGCCCTGTTGTTTTTTTTTTTTTAATTTTTGTGAGATGGAGTCTCGCTCTGTTGTCCAGGCTGGAGTGCAGTGGTGCAATCTTGGCTCACTGCAACCAACCTCTGCCTCCCAGGTTCAAGTGATTCTCGTGCCTCAGCCTCCCAAGTAGCTGGGATTACAGGCTCGTGCCATGAAACCCAGCTAATTTTTGTAATTTTAGAAGAAACAGGGTTTCACCATGTTGGCCAGGCTGGTCTCAAACTCCTGGCCTCAAGTGATCCGCCCACCTCAGCATCCCAAAGTGCTGGGATTACAGGCATGAGCCACCGCCCCCCGTTCTGCTGGCCCCACCAGCCCCTGCTGTAGAGCCACCAAGTATAACCTGGAACGAATGACAGCAGCGGTGGGGGTGGCAGTTGCCTTGTTTCTCAACATGAACAATGGGCTGTGGAGCCCGACCTTCCTCCTGCACAGGCCCCACCTGCAGGTGGGCAGGGTAACTGGCTGTGGTAGGGTTGAGGACGCCCACTGGGGAGGACAGTGTGCACCGGGTCCCTGCTTGGGGTGGGGTATGTGCCACTAGGAGGTCTTTCTCAGGTGAACCAGGCGATGGGTGAGGCCTAGGCTGCCCTACAGTGACCACCTGGGGGCAGGATGGGTGATCACTTCTCACAGGCTTCCAGGCCGCTGATATGGCTGCGTCCCCACGGCGACACCAGGGTCCCGCCTCACCTCCACCCTCAGCAGCTCCGCCCTGACGGCATATGCCCTGCCTTCCTCCCACCTTCTTGCAGGCTGCTTCCCCATGTCCCTTTCTGCAGCCTATACCTTTCATGGTGTCATCATTTCCTGAAGTCATGGCCATTGTGCTTTGCTGCTGCTCTGGGAGCCTGGCACATTTTGGGGGGACTGCATGTAGCAGGAAGGGCTTCCACGGAGCAGTCTCGTGTGAGAGAGCGTGGCAAGTGCACCAGCGTGCTGCTCTTGGGACACAGAGATCCAGGAAGCTGCCCCCCAGGCTGACTGTGGACACAGAACTCCTAGCACCTAGGACCCCAGAGGCACACGCCGGTGCTCAGGACTCCGGATGCGCAGCGCACCGATGTGCTTCATACGCCTTGGGGCCCCTTGTTTTTGTTCTTTTTCGTTATCATTACTGTGTAAAACCTTAAGATGTGGCCCTGGTAAAACTTCCAGCGGCTCAGAGAGTGGACAGTGAGAACCTGAAGTCTGTTGCCTGTGGTAGCCTCAGTCCTACCTCTGCGTTTCCCGTGCAGCATCTACACGAGGCTCCGAGGATGAAAGTCTGCATCTGCAGTTCTCATGTCCAAATGGACACAGATGTCAGGTTGTCCCCTCTGAAGCAGCCTTGCAACCACTAGGGGGCAGGAGGCACTGCTCTCTGGGGGCTGAGTGGGATCCAGGTCGGCCGAGGAGCTGGAGGCCGTGGCCCTGAAGCTTTGACCCGGCCCGTTCTGAGGCTCCAGCAGCACCAACGTGGATTTCGTCTGCAGATGTTTGATTCAGCAAATCTAAAAGCAGGAGAGAAACGTAGACCACAGAAGACAGGGTGGCCGCGTGCGGCAGCGCTGTGGGATGAGGCCCAGGGGAGGGAGAGTGGAGGGTGAGGATGGGGTCTCCAGAGCCTGGAGCAGACCCGGTCCATGGGGTAGAGGCAGAGCCCCGGGAAGAGGGTGTGAACGCGGGGACAGCTTGCCAGGCCGGAAGGCTGGAGGCGTCAGCGTTTCTTCCCTGAGCACCGCAAGGAGGAGCCGGTGGAGGTGAAGGCGCAGCCCCTCCCTGAAGAGAGGCGACGCCCCTCCCAGGCAGCCCACTTCTCGGAGGGTGGAGCAAACGCTCACAAGATCACAGCGCGCTGCAGCAGGAGAAGGGGACTCGGAGTCAGGGCGACGGCCCCGTCGGAGCCCCAGGAACCGTGGACCCCAGGCAGAGAGAGGGCGGCGGGGGATGGTGCAGCCCCAGGCAGAGGACTCGGGGAAGAACCAGGTAGAAGAGCTGGCCCATCTGAGGGAGCCCAGGGGTTGGAGCGGAAGGACACGGGCGGCGTCGGGACCTCAGAGGAAAGCGCTGCCACAGAGCCCGTGGGCCAGGCTCGAGCCTAAAGGGCTGGGGCAGGACCCTGCACCCCACAGGGAGCCGAAGTGTTTCCAAGGAGGTAGAGGGACAAAGGGATGGGCGGGCCCTGATCAAGGGGTCTGGGGGATCTCCAGGGCACAGAGTCTGTGGAGCCAGGGAGGGGAGCGCCGTGGAGTTGTGGGGAGCGGGCGGCAGGCGCCTCGGCACTGGGCCCTGCACAGAGAGGGCCGGAGCCGCCGCTTCCACACCTGGAGCAGGAGGAAGAGAGGAGGCGTCACCTGTGAGGCTCAGGAGAGAGCCCGGGTCCTGGTTCCCGCTCCCCGCTGGAGCCCTCCCGGCCCTCCCAGGTCCTTCTCATTTCTGCTCCTGATCTGCCCTGTCGATTTCTAACCATCAGGGCTTTTTCATGTTATTACTGATGCTTGTGAACACGTCTGCTGTAGCCTGCACTCACGGAGGCAGAGGGCCGTGGGGGAACTCTGCAGCCCAAGCTTGCGCCGCGCTCGCCCGTGGCCCAGGCAGGACCCTTCCGCGGCCTCCCAGTGGCAGCCACAGGTGCTGGTTGGTTTGCTGAGCTATCACGGGTGGGGTGGGCAGCGTCTGAGCCCTTGCCCGAGAAGCATCTGCTGTGTGTCCACGAGGCACCTGGAGGGGGCCAGATCCAAGGCACAGGGCCCTGCTGCATGGCTCCACATGGAAGTTCGAGTCCCCCGTGTCCAGCCGCCGGCCCTGCAGGTGCCCAGCAGCTCTGACAAAGCGGGGCAGGGCCGCTGGGGTGTCCCTGGACAGCGGGGCCTGGTGGGCAGGGGAGGAGGCTGCAAGGTGACACCCAGTTTGCCTTGCAGATGTACGGAGCGCAAGAGGACGGCAGCGTCGGCGAAGGTGACCTGTCCTGCATCCTCAAGACGGCCCTGGGGGTGGCAGAGCTCACCGTGACCGACCTATTCCGAGCCATTGACCAAGAGGAGAAGGGGAAGATCACATTCGGTGAGCCCGCAGGAGTGGGGTCGTCCTCGCGACCCTTGGGCGGGGGCTGGACAGAGTGTGGGGCGAGTCTCCGTGGGAGCCCAGGACAGGAGTGGAGTCCCCGCCATGCCTCCATTCACCAGGCTGCCCTGTGTAACAAAGAAACCCCTGAGAAGGAAGGTTCTGGAGACCTGGCAGCGTTCGTAGGGAGCTTTCCAATCTGATTTGTTTTGGCGATTTATACAACCAAACTCCAAGCCCAGTTCCGAAGCTCTGAGCCTTCCATGGCCTCAGGCTGGGATTCAGGTGCCTGGAGGTGGGGGATACCCGCACCCAGCCCTCGAGGCCACTGGCTGTGGGCTTTGTCACTGCCAGCCGGGGTGTGGCTCACATCCCCCCTCTCCTGGGAGGGGTCTGTCAGGAGAGACGAGGAGGCGGGCGCTGCAGACCCCCGTGCCGCCCAGGGCGACTTCCTCCCGAGAAAAGTCACCTGTCTGTGGACATCTGATGAGGTGACTGGTAACACGGCTGATTCCAGAGCACGAGCTGTCGGTAATGGCGGTTGATATTTTTAAATTGCTGTGCAAAATCCGCAAACCCGAGCCCGGGGCGCCTCCCTCCCCTGCAGTGTGAATGAGCTACGCTGCATCCACCCGAGGCTCCCAGGGCTGCAGGCCCTGGCCTGGCTCATCCCAGTGGATGCCGCAATCCCCACCTGGAAGGGTGGTCTTAGAGCAAACGAGAAGACACGCGAGAGAGCTGCGTGCACAGCGTCTGTGCGGGAGCCGGAGGCGGGAGTGCGGATGTGCGCACTGGTTTCAGTATTGAAAGCATGTATGTGTGCTTAGTTACCGTGTGTGTGCACACGTGTGTGTGCGTGTGCGCCTGTGTGCGTTTGTTTCAGTACTGAAAGTGCACGTGTGTTACCGTGCGTGTGCATACGTGTGTGCACGCATGTGCGTGCTTCTTTTAGTATTGAAAGTGTGCATGTTTACCGTGTGTGCACACGTTTGTGTACACATGTGCATGCTTGTTTCAGTATTGAAAGCGTGCATGTGTGTTGTGTGTGTGCGTGCATGTGCATGCTTGTTTCCATTTTGAAAGCGCACGTGTTTAGTTACCGTGTCTGTGCTCTTGTGCTTGTTTTGTGTGTGTGCGCACGTGTTTAGTACCGTGCGTGTGTGTGCGTGCACTTGTGTGTGTGCATGGGCATGTGTGTTTAGTTGCTGTGTGCGTGTGCTTGTTTTGTGTGTGTGCACACGTGTTTACTGTGTGCGCATGCGCTTGTTTTGTGTGTGCATGCATGTTTAGTTACTGTGTGTACCTGCGCTTGTTTTGTGTGTGTGTGCATGTGTGTAGTTACCATGTGTGCATGCGCATGTGTGTTACCGTGTGTGTTCGTGCACTTGTGCGTGCGCATGTGTGTTTAGTTACTGTGTGCCTGCGCTTGTTTTGTGTGTGCGCGCACATGTGTTTAGTACCGTGCGTGTGTGTGTGTGCATGGGCATGTGTGTTTAGTTGCTGTGTGCGTGTGCTTGTTTTGTGTGTGTGCACGCATGTGTGTTTAGTTACTGTGTGCGCGTGCGCTTGTTTTGTGTGTGTGCATGCATGTTTAGTTACCGCGTGTGCCTGCGCTTGTTTTGTGTGTGTGTGCATGTGTGTGGTTACCATGTGTGCATGCGCATGTGTGTTACCGTGTGTGTGCGTGCACTTGTGCGTGCGCATGTGTGTTTAGTGTGCCTGCGCTTGTTTTGTGTGTGTGCATGTTATTGTGTGCCTGCACTTGTTTTGTATGTGTGCGTGCATGTGTGTAGTTACCATGTGTGTGCATGTGCTTGTTTTGTGTGTGCACGCATGTGTGTTTAGTTAGTGTGTGTGTGCACTTGTTTGTGTGTACACGCATGTGTTTACTGTGTGTGCACACACTTGTGTGTACGTGCATGTGTGATTACCGTGTGTGTGCTTGTTTTGTGTGTGTGCGCGCACGTGTGTTTGGTTACCGTGTGTGTGCTTGTTTTGTGTGTGTGTGTCTGCGTGCATGTGTGTTTACCGTGTGTGCTCTTTGTGTGTGTGCACGCATGTGTTTGTTTACCGTGTGTGTGCGTGCTTTTGTGTGTGTGTGTGTGCACGCATGTGTGGTTACCGTGTGTGTGCTTGTTTTGTGTGTGTGCGCACATGTGTGTTTGGTTACCGTGTGTGTGTGTTTGCATGTGTGCATGCGTGCGCTTGTTTCCATTTTGAAAGTGTGCAATGCTCCTTGGTGTGTTCGGGCTCTTTGATGTTTGTAGTGGGCACCGACCAGCTGCAATTTCCAGTAACAACCATCCCTGGATTTCTCGCCGGGTGGCCCAGGTTCTGAGTGTTTCTGGAGCGGCCTAGCATGACCAGCCCCCTGCACCATCTTTCCAGCCCCACCAGAAGCCTCCATGGCGCCATCAGTAGGAGCCGAGGGCGCTCACATGAGAGCCAGGCACAGCGGCCAGGAAGTGCAGTCCGAGGCTCTGTGAGGACGGCCCCCTGCCTACCGGGTCTCCCAGGGTGGACGAGGGCACCCCCTCAGAGCGCCAGATCACTGTCCAGACACTTGGTCTTGTCCCTGAGCCAGCTTCTCTGGTTACAGTGCCTCAGAAGTGCTAAGTCCCCGGGATATATCTGTCGAATTCAAAACCAGAAGCTTTCTGTAGGGTTTCCCAAAAGCAGGAGTAGCTAGGAGGACACCCAGCCTGCCCCGGTTGTCAGGGTGACTTCGTGCGCTGCAAAGAAAGTAAGCGCAAGTTCTTCTCTCCACCCTGAAAGCATCCGTTTCACAGACGATTCTAACCCTCCCTGGAGGGCGTGAGGTGGACACCCACCAGGGCCGTGGGAAAAGAGCCTCCAAATCCTAGACATTTGCTCGTCCCCATTCCATAACCACAGGTGCCTTTGTCTTTCCAGCTGACTTCCACAGGTTTGCAGAAATGTACCCTGCCTTCGCAGAGGAATACCTGTACCCGGATCAGACACATTTCGAAAGCTGTGCAGAGACCTCACCTGCGCCAATCCCAAACGGCTTCTGTGCCGATTTCAGCCCGGAAAACTCAGACGCTGGGCGGAAGCCTGTTCGCAAGAAGCTGGATTAGGACCCAGGGTTGCGGAGAGACGCGGCCCCTCCCGCGTGGACATCACCGCCATGAGCCTCTTTGCGAGTGACCTCTGGGCTCCGCTCCTCACTCCTGCTGTACAGGCACTGTCTTCAGCCCGAGTTCCAGGGGCCTCGGGGGCTGTTTGTATCTTGTTCCTTTGTGAAGTGTGTTGCAGAACCGACGCTTACTGTGCGAGAATCGGAGGGCGCGCACGCGGATCCCCCGCCTGGCCTGGACCCCGTGGGGTCAGGTTCCCTGCCGGGCGGGGGGCACCGGTGCCGCCCCGTGTTCTCCCACGGGGCCCTGGTTTCGAGTCTCTGTCACAGCCTCTTCCGGCGGCAGCGTGCACCGGGCGGGCCTCCGTGCACACTCAGCACACGCCTGCCACACAGCGTGCGCTTGCGTGTCACTCTGGCACGAAACCTGTCTGCCTCTGTGGATCCACAGCCTGGCAGAGCCGAGCCGTCACCTGATTTTTCAGTGTTTCTACCTGTGTGCTGGAGCTCATGAGTATTTTATAAACTCCATTTAGGTACTTCAGGAAACATGCAGCATTTTTTAAAAAATGAAAATTGTTTTTCTACTTCATTTTTCCTTTTAGAGTCAAAGGATATTTATTTATAGGCCTTTTTTTTTTTAATATAGAATCTGAGGCTGTTTGGGCTTTGACTTAAATTTCCATCAGGCCTCTCTCCAGCAGGTAATCCCTCTCCTTCCGCTGGGTCCCCTGGGGAGGTGTGAACTCAAGGGCCTAGCCCCAAAACACTTTTTCTGCTTTTCTTAATCCTTTTCCAGTCCCCTCTTTTTTTATAAACGTTGGCAGTTTGATGTTTCTGTTTCGGCATAACGTAATCCATTTCACTGTAGCCTAAACTCCAGTCCGAGGTTGGATATTGTTCAAATGAGCAGGGCCCGAGCTGGAAGCGCAAGGCAGCCGCCGCCGTGCCGCTCCTCCCTTGCCCTCAGGCCAGGTCCCTGCTGGAAGCGGCTGCATCTTCCTGTCAGCCCTGGTTTCCATGGTGACTGGCGTCACGCTGCCACCCGAGTATGGCTGACCTTCCTGCAGAGAGAGGAGCCGCAGTCTTTTGCTTGTGGAAGGAGACGCTGGGCTGTGCGGTGCGGAGGGTGATGAGGATGTCTGGTGACAGCCGTGCGGACACCACTCCTCTCTGCAGCACTGCCTCCCAGCGCCAGGGTCGCGGGCACATCCCACTGAGAGCGGGGGTCCTGCCCCATCTTAGAGTCAAAGGCAGAGGGGCTTCCAGGCCCTGGATGGGGTATTTTGGTGTCACCTGAAGTCCCTCTGACATCACCTTGTTTCATCATTTTTTATGACAGAATTAGAAACCCATCCTTCAAGCACAATAATCATCACAGACTTGAGTTTGCTTCCTAAAGCAAAGGCTCCGGGTTTGTTTGGAAAATTTTTTTGATTTCTGAAATGAATTGATTTTTATATTTGGGGCATCTCTATAGAAAGTGACCACCAAGGCCAGTAAGTACGGGAAAAAATGTTTACTAACTTCCTCAGAGATTCGTGATACGCGTTTCTCCACTGACAGACATTTAAAAACAACCTTCAGCTCCGTTTCAATCAATCACCTCGACTTGTTTTTTAGCATGGACACTGCCAGCAGGACAGACAGGGATGGAGTAAACCGAAGTCAATTTCAGGGCTCTTGGCGTGTTGGACACAGAAGAAATCCTAGTGCAGCCTTTGGTAGCTAACAGTCACTGATTTTATAATTGGAGAATGCGTAAAGATTCATTTTTCAAGGAGAAGAGCCTGCAAATGGCCAATGAAGGAGGTAAATAAACTAAGATATTCCGAGGGAAGGGACCCAGGCCACCTCCCTTCCGCAGGTCTGCAGATGAAGGGTTTTTTGAATGAAATGCCACTGTGCATTTTCAGAAAAAAAAATCTCTGATAAACAGACTTTGAATGGATGTTTGTTCCTCCTGATTCTCTTTTCTCTTCGTGGCGACTTAGAGTTGGCGGATATTCGGAACTGTGAATGTACATAGCGTTGAGTTAAACCCCTTGTGTGTGAGACAGGACGCAGCGGGCCCCTGGTGGCCTGGGGGCCAGACCCGTGGGCAGGTGGGGCATGGGCCCTGGCCTGCGGGGACCTGCTGGGGTGTGAGGGCAGAGGGAGGGTTGCCATGAAGGAACTTGGGATTTTCAATGGAATAAGTAAAACATAAAGTCTATACTTGGGAATGATGTTGTTTTGTGTGGTTCTTTATTAGAAAGACAACAACAGGCATTGTGAGAGGAGAGCCAATCCAGATGAGATTTTCTTGGTGTGGTTCTAGCATGTTTGGAAAACACAAGAATTGAAATTCTGTAGAAAAAGCTGTCTTGGTGGCAAAGGGACGCTCCGGAGTGTTCTGGTATTTTGCGGACAGTAGCAGACATCTTACAGAGTTGAAACATGGATGGCTGGCTGCCTGCCTGGTGGGTTGACTTACGTAATTTCTCAATTTTAAGCACATGCACCTTAAGCGTGTTTTGTCAAGCAGAGAGAAAAATGGATCTGGCATTTAGTCCTACTGAGTCAGTAAAAGGTTTGGAACTAGAGGTAAAAGACCGAGCTCACCTGTTACACTCTCCAAAACTGCACGTGAAGAATCAAGATTGTGTCTCCACCAGCGTCAAGGATGGAAGAAAAACTTAAGGAGAAAAGCCTGCAAATGGCCAATCTGCAGGTGTTTCTCCTTTTTAATACTTTGAAAAACGAAGTTTCAAAGTTCACCATCCACCACCACTCATTTCCCTGTGTACAATTATGGGGGATACTGGGAGGGTGAAAAATGAATCGTTACGTTGTTCAGGAAGGTAAGTCTCAGACATGGGCTACCAGGGAGCTGTGCAGTCTGACCTCACTCAGTGAGAGAGAATGTGCACCAAAATGACATTATTTCAAGCAACAGCAATTTTTACTTCTTCATGCTTGTATGCATCTGCCATTTTTAATACATGAATACTGCCGTTGAAATTGATTGAATATGTCCAAGTTTTCAAGTAAAGCAAGGGTTAAAACAAAAACTAGATCTGCACATCTCACATCAGCACTGGATGGGGCAGCTGCTGCTAAGATGCGGCTGGTGTGAGACCGAGAAGGAGGAGCGTCTGGCTCCAGGTGCCGGCTGTGGGCAGGGTGGCCGTGCCCGGCGGGTGCACCCAGGGAGGTGCACAGCAGGGTAACTCGTGTGGTTTGCAGCACACGTGTTTGTCATCGAACATGCCTCTGCTTCTGTGTGTTCAGTTCTCCACTCAGCATTGGAGCCAGGAGAAATGAAGGTGGGACCCTCAGGAAAAAGCAAACCCACCCCCGGTGTTCACGCAAGAGTTGACACAGCTGCACCTGCTGCTGCCGTATGCTGATCCTAACCAGAAGCTGGCTGGGAGGAGAGGCCCCCTGGGCCATGAAGCAGAGCTCGGGAATGTGAGAAGTGGGGCTGAGGGCAAACGGGGTAGTGAAGGACCAGCACTGCCCACCCATAGCTGCTCTGTGTCCACAAGTAAGTCACACACTCAGACATCTTCCAACACAGTGCTGTACTCACACCACCCAACACAGGTGCTTTTACCTTCCCCAGAAACAGTAGAGACCCATGAGTCTTCCTCGCCACTAATGGTTTCTCTGGTACAGCCACAAACCCATCTGGACATTCTCTGACATGAAAAACTTAAGTTTCAAAGTTCACCATCTACCACCACTAATATTCCCTGTGTAAAATAGTGGGGATGCTGAGAAGTGGGAAAAGGAGTAATCAATTAACAAATGACTTGCATGCTCCCAGGCTCACGTGCACACACACATATGCACAACACGTTCACATCCACACATGCTCACACAATGATACACACATGCTCACATGCACTCATGCTGAGGCTTACACATGTACACACATGCTCACATGCACTCATGCTGAGGCTTACACATGTACACATGCTCACATGCACTCATGCTGAGGCTTACACGTACACACATGCTCACATGCACTCATGCTGAGGCTTACACATGTACACATGCTCACATACACTCATGCTGAGGCTTACACATGTACACACATGCTCACATGCACTCATGCTGAGGCTTACACATGTACACATGCTCACATGCACTCATGCTGAGGCTTACACATGTACACACATGCTAACATGCACTCATGCTGAGGCTTATGCATGTACACACATGCTAACATGCACTCATGCTGAGGCTCACATGCACTCATGCTGAGGCTTACACGTACACACGTGCTCACATGCACTCATGCTGAGGCTTACACATGTACACACATGCTCACATGCACTCATGCTGAGGCTTACACATGTACACACGCTCACATGCACTCATGCTGAGGCTCACATGCACTCATGCTGAGGCTTACACATGTACACATGCTCACATGCACTCATGCTGAGGCTTACATATGTACACACATGCTCACATGCACTCATGCTGAGGCTTACACATGTACACATGCTCACATGCACTCATGCTGAGGCTTACATGTACACACATGCTCACATGCACTCAT
Source organism: Homo sapiens (assembly GCF_000001405.40). NCBI lineage: Eukaryota > Metazoa > Chordata > Mammalia > Primates > Hominidae > Homo > Homo sapiens. Next base: position 50,674 of record NT_187547.1, read on the forward strand.
GCTGAGGCTTACACATGTACACACATGCTCACATGCACTCATGCTGAGGCTTACACATGTACACACGCTCACATGCACTCACGCTGAGGCTCACATGCACTCATGCTGAGGCTTACACATGTACACATGCTCACATGCACTCATGCTGAGGCTTACATATGTACACACATGCTCACATGCACTCATGCTGAGGCTTACACATGTACACATGCTCACATGCACTCATGCTGAGGCTTACATGTACACACATGCTCACATGCACTCATGCTGAGGCTTACACATGTACACACATGCTCATGAGCACATTCACATGCACGTCTTCATAGACACATTCACATGCATGCACATGCTCACACTAATGCACACACACTTATATGCTCCCACACATGCTCACACACACACAGCAAGCAAAGAGGACAGCCTGCATGCCCGGTACTGTCCTCATGCTGTGGCTAGCTGTGAGGCTGTGATCAGCAGCTACACCTTCCTTCTTCCACTACCCATTCCACGTTTTCTTGACCCTAAGCAGTACTTTGGATGGTCAGGGTTCTTTACCCAGTGAGAGGACTCAAATTTTCATTCCAGTGTGTCTGATGCAGTTGTCGTCTTGCCTTTATTAGTCACAATATTAGTCGTGAAAGCCCTGAGAAGTACCTAGAGAATCCACTGAGCTCCAAGATAGCCCTTTCATTGGGGTTAGCCATCCCCACCAAGACAGCATGCTTTTCTTGAACTATTAGCTAAGTGGCATGAGCAGCCCCAAATAGCTGATGACCGTCTGAACTTTCAGTGCAGCAGATGGATCACTGAGGTCCCAGGTAAGAGCATTCCAGCCTTGGGAACTAGGACCTTGAAAGCAAAAGAGCCCAATGTCACAGACGAGAAAAGCAAAAATATGTGAATGGGTTTATCAGCCCACCTGGGATCATTGATGCTGCGGTAACAAATGTAAACCAATAAAATGTCAGGGTCAGCTAAACAGATGTGGTCCTCGCCCGTCTCTCCCAGGCAGGTCAGCTGCAGCTCTGCTCCATGTCACCATCTGCATCCAGCCCAGCACAGCAGCCCCTCCTGGGACTCAGCCAGTCAGATGGCTTTGGGAAGAGGTGACAAGCAAGCCTGCCTAGATGCTATATCTGCTGCACAGACGCAGAATACAGCAGGCCCACTCCTGGTTCATTGGCCACAGTAAGCCATGTGGTCACAGCTGAATTCAACAGCCAGAGACGTACAGTCCTGCAAGGGAGCCCCTCAAAGGAGGTGAAGGATCTTCTGAACAGCAGCACCAGCCACCCTGCAGTAAGTGTTGGATGTGGTGGTGAGCAGGGCCAGTCCTAATTCCACCCATTGACATTACAGACATTATTCTGGCTATGAAATGGTGCCATGTCTTGGTCCACAGTTCGAGGCACTATGTCATCCATCAGGATGGCAGTCCAATGTTCTAGGGCACTGCCTCCCCATGGGCAGCACACCTAAAGCTTCAAGAAGTCATCCTCATGCTTAATCAGACTCGCCACCTCTGGGTGATGGGAAACGTAGGGATTCCAAGTGTGTACCTGTTCCCATGCTGCCTTTGCTGTAAAGTAAATTCCTTAACAATGCCATAGGAGGTGGGCAATAGTGAATAAGCCATTCATCAAGCCCACAGATGGTGCTGTCAGAAACACTGACAGCAAAGACATATCCATATCTGGAATAAGGGAAACTGAAACCAAGAGATACTCCCCTCAATGATGGAAGAGTCCAGTGTGATCAACCTGCCTCCAGGGGGCTGGCTAGTCCCTTTCCCAGGAATGGTACCTGGGGCTAAGTATGGGACCCTGCTTCCGACATGTTGGGAGTCCAGTGATAACTGCATCAGCCTAGGCTATTGTTGATGGGTCAGCTCTTTGTTATTGATCCACACTCATCTCCATCCCTATTTCCAGTGCCAGTTTGTGAATGGTTCTACTAGGTAAACACTGGGTTGGCTGGGAAAGAGACAGGCTGACATCCACTGCCTGTGTCATACCCTGGCAGAGACTATAGTAAATTAGACCCGACAAGAGAAAATATTAGTGAACCTGAAAATACAGCTATGTGTGATCCCAGTGATGTACAGGGAGAAACAGACAGAAATGAAGCACAAGTGGGCATGGAATAATGCCACAAGGCCCATCACATGTGATTGGAGCCCTAGAAAAGGAGGAGGACAGGACAGAAAAATTATTTGATGAAATAATGGCCAGAATTTTTTTCCAAATCTATAAACTAAGATACCCAAGAAGCTCAATAAGCACCCAGCAGAAAAAATACAATAAAAACACAGCAAGACACACATCACAAACTGCTGAAAGCCACTGAAAAGGAGAAAAATCTTAAAAGCAGCTGGAGAAAAACAACATACTATCAAGGAACAGAGATAAGAATGAAAGCCAACTTCTCTTCAGAAACTATGCAACCCAGACGTCAAGGAACAGAGATAAGAACGACAGCCGACTTCTCTGCAGAAACTATGCAACCCAGACGTCAAGGAACAGAGATAAGAACGACAGCCGACTTCTCTGCAGAAACTATGCAACCCAGACGTCAAGGAACAGAGATAAGAACGACAGCCGACTTCTCTGCAGAAACTATGCAACCCAGACGTCAAGGAACAGAGATAAGAACGACAGCCGACTTCTCTGCAGAAACTATGCAACCCAGACGTCAAGGAACAGAGATAAGAACGACAGCCGACTTCTCTGCAGAAACTATGCAACCCAGACGTCAAGGAACAGAGATAAGAACGACAGCCGACTTCTCTGCAGAAACTATGCAATCCAGATGACTGATGACATCTTCAAAGAGACTAAAGACGAATGCGGCCACCCTGGAATTCTATGCTAAAATAAACATCTTTTAAAAATCAAGGCATAATAGAAACATTTTGAAATCAGCAAAAGCTGAGATAATTCACTGCCAGTAGTTCATAATGACCAACAATGTTCAGAGTTCTACAGGCAGAAATAAGAGAATACCATGCAGAAATTTGGCATTTGAAGGTAGATTGTGGTAAGTTAAAAATACACATAGTGGCCAGGCATGGTGGCTCACGCCTGTAATCCCAGCACTTTGGGAGCCTGAAGTGGGTGGATCATCTGAGGTCAGGAGACCTTGTGGCCAACATGGTAAAACCCCATCTCTACTAAAAGTATGAAAATTAGCTGGGCATGATGGTGGGTACCTGTAATCCCAGCTACTTGAGAGGCTGACGTGGGAGAATCTCTTGAACCCTGGAGGTGGAGGTTGCAGTGAGCTGATATGGTGCCATTGCATTCCAGCCTGAGGTGACCGAGCAAAACTTCATCTAAAAAAAAAATACACATAGTAAGACCCCCTCCCATAGAAAACAGAACCAAAGAAGTATAACTAATATAAATGTAAATTTTACCCAAACTAAGAAGGAAGGTGGGAGGGAAAGAACAAAGGACAGAGAATAGAGATAGATAACAAATAGCAAAACGGTAAATTTAAATCCAATCATATTAGTAGTTACATTAAACATAGACTAAAAACTCCTAAATGACATTTGTTGGACTAAATAAAAAATAAAATACCTAACTATATGCTGTTTAAATATAGATTGAAAGTAGAAGAATAGACTGGGCACAGTGGCTCCTGCCTATAATCCCAGCACTTTGGGAGGCCGAGGCAGGTAGATCATTTGAGGTCAGGAGGTCAAGACCAGCCTGTCCAACATGGTGAAACCCCATCTCTAGTAAAAATGCAAAAAAATTAGCTGGGCGTGGTGGCACATGCCTGTAGTCCCAGCTACTTGGGAGGCTAAGGCAGGAGAATCACGTGAACCCTGGAGGCAGAGGTTGCAGTGAGCTGAGATTGCGCCACTGCACTCCAGCCTGGGTGACACAGCAAGACTCTGTCTCATAAAAAAACAAAACAAAAAGGTAAGAAAGTAAAAGAATAGGAAATATATTTATAACATGCAAACAGAAGCTTAAGAAAGTTTATTTGGCAAGATTGTCATACTAAGTGTACTTTAGAGACTAGGAGAATTAGCAGAGTTAAAGACAGACATTTCATGATGATAAAAGTTCAATTCAATTGGAAGACACAATGTTTAAAAGTGCATGTATCTAATCACATAGCTTAAATATATTAAGCATCAATGACAGGATTTAAAGGAGAAATAAATCTGCAAACATAGTTGGAGATTTTAACATAGATCTCTTAGTAACTGATATAACTATCAGGGAAAAATGTAGTTACATAGAAAAACAGCTCTATTCACCAAATGATGTGCCATTTCAAGTGCACATGAAGCAGTTGACAAAATAGACCATGTGCTTGACCACAGATAAATTTCAAGATGTTTAAATCACACAGAGTATGTTCTCTCATCTAAATGAAGCTAAATGTCATGAATTCTGCCCATATTCCCCAGGGCAGAACTGAGCTACTTGGCCGAGAAGCTACAAGAGTAACTGGAAAACATTTGCTGAGGAAGGACAACAGAAACAGCAATACTGATGAGGAGGCCACTGTCTGTCATGTGACACTGTCAAGGGCTGGCTAGGTGCAGATTAACTCCCTTAAATGTAAGAAAAGTGAATGGGGGCCAGACGCAGTGGCTCATGCCTGTAATCCCAACACTTTGGGAGGCTGAGGCATGTAGATCACCTAAGGTTAGGAGTTCCAGACCAGTGTGGCCATCACAGTGAAACCCTGTCTCTACTAAGAATATGAAAATTAGCTGGGTGTGGTGGTGCACGCCTGTAATCCCAGGTACTCTGGAGGCTGAGGCAAGAGAATTGCCTGAACCCAGGAAGCAGAAGTTGCAGAGAGCTGAGATCGCACCACTGCACTCCAGCCTGGGCAACAGAGTGAGACTCCATCTCAAAGAAAAGAAAAGAAAAAGAAAAGTGAATGGGTCCACAATTTTTGCTTCCAGTCAAAATGGAAGAGTAGAGACTGGATTTACCCTCCGTTGGGAAACATGGTCATTAGGCAGGAAACTAAGATGGGCTTTGCCCCAGCAGGGAAGAAGCATCAGCCCTGAGCAAAGCACTGCTCTGGTCCTCCTGGGCAGAGCTTAAAAGCAAAACCTGAAAGAATGACCAAACTACAACAGGGACCTTACCAGTGGCCAAAGACAAACTTCCAGAATATTCACATTAGTACAGTGTTATCCACAAACCAACAGGGTTAAATTCACAATGCTGGGCATCCACTGGAAATTAGCACAATGCAAAAAGGTGGGAAAATGTGACCTACAGTCAATAGAAACAGACCCAGAGATGACTCAAATGATAGAATTAGAGAGGCATTGACAATCATAACTGTTACCTCATTCCAAGAGCTAGCCAAAGGCGAGACTGAATATGTTTAATAGAGACATGACAGATATTTTTTAAAAGACACGAATCCAAATTCTAGAGATGAAAACCACAATGTCTCAGATGCAAAATGCACTGGTTGAGAGGAGGGGTGGATTCAACATCTCAGAAGAAAAGGATACATGAACTTGAAGACATAGATGGCAGTGCAAACTGTTCAAAATGAAATAAAGAAAAAAGACAAAAAAATGAACCAAGCATCAGAGAACTGTGGGACTTCAAGCCACCTAATATGCAAGCCATAGGAATCCTCAAAACAGATCATGTCTAAACAATGTCATTTTATGATAGCATCAGTTCACCAAAAGGACAAATGTTTATGTACCTAATAACATAGCTTCATAATGAATTCGGCAAAAACTGATAGAACTGCAAGGAGACATAGAGCAGTTCACACAATTATACTTGGAGATTTCAATACCTCTTTCCCAATAGTTGATAGAACAGATACACAGAAACTTTTAAGGATACAGAAGACTTCAAAAACAGTACGAACTAACATGACCTATTTGATATTTATACAATAATTCATCCAATAATAGCAGAGTGCACATTCTTTTCAAATGCATGTGAAAAGCTTACCAAGATCGACCACAGTCCAGACCATAAAATTCCCTTTAGGGATTCAGGTCATGTAAAGCAAGTTCTCCAACAAAGAGGCAAATAAATTTGATACCAAAATGAAAAATACATTTGGCAAAAAATAAAGAAGCATATCCAGACAATCTTCTAATATTTGGAAACTAATCACATATCTAAATAACAATGGGTCAAAGAGGACATCAAAAGGGAAATCAGAAAATATTTTGAACTGAATGAAAACAAAACAACATATCAAACCTTTTGGAATTTGGCTAAATCAGAACTTAGAAGAAAATCTAGACATGAAGCCTGCCTCAGAAAGGAATAATGATGAAAAATTGATGGCAGCCTCCACCCGAAGAAATCCCATGCGGGACTTTGGAAGAAATTGAAAAGTTGATTCCAAAATTCATATGAAAAAGCACAGGACCGAGAATATGCAAAACAACTTTGAAAATGAACAAAGTTGTCTGACTTACATTACCTGATTTAAAAATGTATTACAAAAGGACCATAATGAAGATAGTGCCATTTTAATCTCCTCAGGCTGCCACAACAAAATACACCAGATTTGGGGGCTTAACAGCAGACATTTGTTTCTCACAGTTCTGGAGACTGGAAATCCAACATCAAGGCAGCTGATTCAGTTCCTGGTGAGGCCTCTCTTCCTGGCTTGCAGATGGCCGCCTTCTTACTCTATCTTCACATGGCAGAAAGTAAAATGGAGAGAGCTTCCTCTTCTTATAAGGCCACAGTCCTCCTGGGTTATGACCCCACCCTTACAATTTAATTTAACCTAATCACCTCCTAAAGTCCCTATCTCCAGATAAAGTCACCTTGCGGGGGTTATGGCTTTAACCTATGAATTTGGGGGTAAACAATTCAGTCCACAGCAAGTGTGGTATTAGCATCAAAATGGATTAACAGATCATAAAACAGGGAGCCCAGAAATAAACCCACACACATACATACAACTGACTTTTCAACAAAGGTGCAAAAGCAACTCAGCAGAACACTGAACAACTGGCTCTTCGGAGGTAAAGTGGTGAACTTCAATTGGTGTCTTACACCAAGCTAGTTTAAAAATGCATTCTATGTGTAAATATGCAATCTATAATTTTAAAAAGTTTAGAGGAAAACTTAGGAGAAAATCTTGATGATCATGAATTTGGTAAAGATTTCTTAAATACAACACTAAAAGCAGGATTTGTGAAAGAAAAATGGATAAATTAGACTTCATCAAAATTAATAACTCTTCTCTGAAAGAATCTATTAAGAGAATGAAAAGACAGTCCAAGACTGGGAAAAATATTTGCAAAGTACCCATCTGATAAGGGACTGGTATCCAGAATAGTAAAGAACTCTCAAAGCTCAATTAAACAACCCAAAGGTGCAAAAGATTTGAACAGACACTTAACACGAAGTGGCACTGATGCAGCTAACACATGAGAAATTGTTCAAAGATCACGCTCATTAGAGCAGTATAGGAGATATTACTGTAAACATATTAGGATGTCTAAAATTTAAAAGACTGACCATACTAAGTATTCATTAGAATATGAAGTAACTAAAATTATCATACACTGTTCATGGAAATATAAAATGATACAACTACTTTGCAAAAGAATTTAACAGTTTTTAAAAAAATAGTTAAACATATATCTACCAAATGACCCAGCCATTCCACAACTAAGTACTTCTTACCTACCCCAAAGTAATGAGAGCCTATGTTCAAAGACTTGCACACAAATGTTCATAGTAGCTTTATTTGTAACAGCCAGATGTCCATCAATAGGCAGATGGAAAAGCCAAGTACATCATATCCCATATCCACACAATGGATACTACAAATAACTAAAAGGGAATTAACTGCCGATGCAATGATGTGGATTCTTCTCAAATATGCTGAATGCAAAAGAACAGACCCAGAAAACAGTACTTACTGTATAATTCTATTTATATAAAATTCTATTAAAAACACATTGTTCTGTAATCATAGAAAACAAATCATTCCAGCATTTTGGGAGGCCAAGGCGAGCTTATCACTTGAGGTTGGGAGTTCAAGACCAGCCTGGCCAACATAGTGAAACCCTGTTTCTACTAAAAATACAAAAATTAGCTGGGTGTGGTGGCGGGCATCTGTAATCCCAGCTACTTGGGAGGCTGAGGCAGGAGAATTGCTTGAACTGAGGAGGCAAAGGCTGCAGTGAGCTGAGATCGTGCCACTGCACTCCAGCCTAGGTGACAGAGTGAGACTCCGTCTCACAAAAAGAAAAAAAAAAAGAGCAAATCAGTGGTTGCCTGGGGATGGGAAGAGGTAAAGAGACACAGACAGAGGGAAGTCAGCGAGGGAGGAGCACCGCCATCATCTTCTGTGTGATCGCGTTGCCATGACCCCATCAGTCACTCACCAAATCGTACACTTGGAATATTGCATATCCATTACACCTCAGCAAGGCTGTTTTTAAAAAGACACAAATGCCGAGATAATTACAGAAAAAAAGTCCAATTAGTTTTGTTAGGATGGTGGAATCATGAAAGGCATCTCCTAGGTCCTCCAATGTTGTTCTTTTTCAAGATTCTTTTGGCTACTCTAGGTCACCCACATCTCCAAACACATTTTAGAACCAGCTGGTTAATTTCTTCAAAAAAGCAAGTTAGAATTTTGATTGAGATTGCATTGAATCTGTATGTCAATTTATGAAGAACTGACATCTCATTAATATTGAGCCTTTCAGTCATAAACATACACACTCCTCTGCTTGTCTAGACTTTCAAAAGTTTCTCACAGCAATGGATTCTAGGTTTTCGGTGCACAAGTCTCGGATACGGTTTATCCCCAAGCATTTTGTTTCGGATGCTATTGTAAGTGAAATTATTTTAGGTTTTATTTTAGAATTGTTTGCTGCCAGTACATAGAAATACAATTGGTTTTCATCAGATCCCATGGCCTTGCTAAATTCATTTATAAATTCTAGTAGTTTTTTTTGTAAATTCCTCAAGATTTTCTACAAACATGAAATCTACCAAGAAAAATCTTGTCATCAATATTTCAATTTTTTTGAAGCCTCCTGCTCTGTAGCCAGACCATTCGCCACTGCCTATGACTACATTTAGGGCCATCCTCTGGCCATCCCTCCTTGGCTAGATGATGAACCTGATGCATGGTTTGAATATGTGCCCACTGGGAAGCTTTCTTTCACTGGTCTTTCACAGAAGGCCATGATGACACAGCCTTTCACTTTCTGGTGGGGGCAGTGTGCTGTGTATAGACACATGTAATCCAGGCCCCAACGCATGCATTTTCTCCGTTCAATGTCATAAGAAACTCTCATGTAGCCAGAGGTCTGGGTTAAGGAAGCGGTCTCCATGCAGCAAGAGTGGGTGCTTGTTCATGGAACTTACCGCGCCTTCCAGACCTGCTCAAGCCTTGTGTCGTAAACATTCCACCTGAGGACGGCAGGATGCTGTCTACACAACCTCTGTGGGTCCGATAACAAATAGCTTCTGCTGGGCCGCTCAGCTTCTATGGTAACAGAGCTCCCTGAGTTTCTGCTATGGCTCAGGGCTGCTCTTACTCAAAAGGAGAGGACGTATTTTCAGGAGAGCGTTCAGCTCTTATTCAACTGTTATTTTCTGCGCTGCCTACAACATCTCCGTCTGCCACAGACCCTCCAATTCCCACTGGTTCTGCCAGATCAGTGTTCTCAAAGTGTGGTTCCTGGGCCAGCAGTGTCAGTGTCACCTGAGAACTTTCTAGAAACGCAGGTCCTCAGGTCCCACCTCAGACCTACTGAACCTGCGTCTCTAAGGATGGAGCGAGGTGATCTGTGCCTCCTATGCATGTAAAGGTTTATGTAGGTGACTGTGATGCCAGCTAAAGTCGGAGAACAACACCAGATTGTGTGGCCTCCTGGGGCAGCAGTTTGCCCATCCAGACCAGCAGCAGAATCTTTCTTACTCTGGGCCCTACTCAAAACCAAACGCTTTATGAAGAACACAAAACAGGCCAGAGAAGCATCCCCGAGTGTCTTGCACCTCACCTTGCAAACCGGAAGAGCCTCACCAGGTATGATACTTCTTTCTTAGTGGTAGTCTTGCTTGCCAGAGACAGCGTGTTTTCTTTCATTTTGGATATATATTTTGACCAATCAGACCAATGGACCCACAGAAAGTTCACCAAGGTGGCAGGTTTTGAAAATGTGTTATTTTCTCTTTCAATTTTTAGCAAGCACGTGTCTTACCAAGGCATCTTGGCATTTTTCATTTTTTGCTCCCCAGGTTGATTCAGCCTGATGTCATCAGTGTGGCAGACCACTGTGACATGCTGTGCAGTGGCAAGACCATCAAGATGTCTGTGACTAAAACCAGCAGTGAGCCGGAAAATGATACAGCTCTGAGAGAAGACATTGGAAGTGTACTGCTGTCCCTGCCATGCGAGAGGAAACTATCTTCCTCCTGAGGTGGCCCCCGGGGAGGGCACAGGGGTGCAGCAGTGAGCAGGGCCTCCTGCCTGGAGCCAGCGCCTTCCATCATTCTCAGAACCTGGACAGACAAGGTCTGGGATCTGACCTCCCACACCCCTGGACAAAAGCCACTCCTGCCTACTGGTCCCCTCACCCTTGCCCTCCCCAAGCCCCCTACCCCCAGGGCCTTCCCAGCACCAGTGAGAGGTCAGGGTCTTTAAAGTCTGAGCTGGGCTCCCTGGGACTTCCTCTGAAAGCACACAGGACACCCTCAATATAGTAAATACGCAGGCAGGTAAATGACTGTCATCTCACTGCCACTGTCCTTGTCCCCTCTCAGATACAGCACTCATGGGGGGAGCATCCACGCTGTCTTCCAAATCAGGCGAGACACGGCGCAACATCCAGCACTGAGGGCCTCCCAGGAGGCAGCACCCAAGGAGGGGGGGACCCGTGGGGCAAGGTTGCTTTGGAGACAGCAGTCAGTGGCCAGGGGCTCCTTGTGGGCTCTGCAGCTGCGGTCCCAGCCAGTGGGGAGAGGTGCCGAGCATGGGCAGGAAGTGCAGAGGCAGGGGGGCTCCACCTGCCTGCACCCAACGCCCTGAGCCCACAGCAGCCATAGCAGCAACCACAATGATAATAAAGCCGACTTGGCATTTAGGGCAAAGTTCCAAGCATGCAAAGGTCGGCCGTTTGATCAGGTCTGATCAGCTCATAACCACACTGCTTCTACCTGCACAGTTCACGGAGCATTCCTGTTGTGGGAGGATGGAGACCCATGGGTCTGGCAGCTGCGCTTTCTCTGTGTCATCCATGAGCCCAACTCCCGCAGTTAGTTTGTTCTTAGAGCACCCAAAGCTCCTTTATCCTAATTCATGTGGTTGGAAGTCGGGGTTGAGGCAGGGGTGGAGGAATGCTCTTTGTCTTGGCAGAGTGCAGGTTACATGCGTGTGATCACTCAGTGGCCCCTCCTGAGTGTGGCAGGTGCATTCTCTGTGTGCTACTGGTCAGTAAGGATGTGGCTGCCTGGATCTGTGTGACCTCTAGTCCCTGCACCTTCCTGCCTGTACCCTGTTAGCTTTGGGTCACAATTCTGCGCTCCTGCAGCGCTTGCAATCCCTTCCCAAACGCTGTTTGCCTGTGTGTTGTTTTGTTTCGAGACAGGGTCTCATCCTGTGGCCCATGGCGCAATCTCAGCTCACTACAACCTCCACCTCCCAGCTTCAAGCTATTCTCCCACCTCTGCCTCCCCAGTAGCTGGGACTACAGGTGTGGGCCACCATGCCTGGCTAATTTTTTTTTTCAAAGTCAGGGTTTTGCCATGTGGCCCAGGCTGGTCTCAAACTCCTGGCCTCAAGAGATCCTCCTTCCTCGGCCTCCCAGAGTGCTGGGATTACAAGCGTGAGCCCTCACTCCTGGCCTGTGTATTTTTAATATACCTGAACATCCATTCTCTCTGTGTGTTTTATTTAACAGCCTCCCTTAGTCACCTGCAAAGTCTTTTCCTTGGGAGACTGTTTCCTCAACCCTGCTGCTCTGGGGCCAAGCCCTGGCTCACTCCTTTTTATTGAAACCTGTGCCATGGAGATAATAGGGGTAGAGAGATCCCTTCTGTGGCAGCCACTGACACACTACAGCTTCGAGGTGGCACATCCCCCTCTCCTGAAGTCCCCTCACCTCCCTGGCGATGAAGTCCCACCCCTGATGGGAGGTGGTGTCAGGAGGCCTTCAGGTGGTCAGGCCAGGAGGGCTCCACCCTGAGGAATGGGACCAGTGCCCTCATAAAACAGACCCCGGAGAGCTCTCCCCAGCCCCTAGCGTGGGGAGATACAGGGAGAGAACTGTCTGCAACCCCGAAGCGGCCCTCACCAGACACAGAGTCGGCCAGGCCTTGGCCTCGGGACACCGGAACCGTTAGAACTGAAGGCTTCTGTGTGAGCCCCCAGGCTGTGGAGTTTTTTGTCATGGCAGCCCCAGGGGGTCACTAGGCTCCCACTTGATTCCAACTCAGCGTGAAGTCACAGCCCTGAGTGCCTTCTGCCTGGGTGCCAGCCCCGGAGCCGGGGAGCGGGGGAGCGGGGGGCGGGGAGGGGAGTGGTGGTGTGCGGGGAGTGCGGGGCGGGCGCAGGGGGTGGGGCACCGCGCTGCGGGCGGGTACTGCGGAGTCAGGCACCAAGGGTCCCTGCCTCCCTCACTGCTGAGCGCGGGCTGCAGGCTGGAATGGCTGGAGAGCCCCAGGGCTCGCCTGGACGCCCAGGGCAGGGTGCTCACGGGAGCATCGAGGGTACACGGGGAGGAACGCCGGGGTTCGGGCGACCCTAGGGGCGACGCACAGAGCTGGGCGCGGCCACTCACCTCGGTGCCTTCTAAGGACCTGGACATCCTGGGCCTTGGCGGCCTGGGGGCTCCATTCCTCCGCGCGCTGAATGGAAGAAATCCCGCCCGGGCATCTCGGAAGGAAAGCCTCGGAGTCCATTCGGCCCTGGAGCCGGATACCAACCGCCAGGGCTTTCCAGGCCCGTCCCGGGAAATGGTTTTCTTAGGCGAGTGCGAGGCGGGCCCCTCGGTTCCGATGCAGGCGCACTAGATGCCGGCAAGGCGGGGACTAGGCCTAGGGGACCTCGGTCGCCTCGAGGTCGCGGAGACCCCAAGGCCACGGAAGGACCCGCGTCTCCGCAGCCCGCACGCCGGGAAGCGTGCAGAGTCCTCGGCGGGGTCCCGAGCCCGCTGGTCAGAGCGTGGAGCGGCGGGGTGGGAGGGACGTGGTCCCCAGAGCGCGGGGCCACCGTAGGGGCCCCTGATGGGGAGGGAGGGAAGGGTCGGCCCGACGGGGTCCCAGCAGTTCCCCGCGCGCAGCCGCTCGGCTCCCTCCCCGTCCAGCTGGGAGCCGCCAGCCCTGGGCGTCCGAAGATAGCGGGTGCCCGGGGCAGCCCCCAGGGGTGCGGGCGAGGGCGCAGGGCGGCCCAGACAGTTCCCGCGTGGAAGGCGCCCGTCTAGATCCGCGACGTCTCGGACCCCCAGGCCCCCGCACCCCGTGTCCGAGGCTCCGGGACGCGCAGGACAGTGGAGCCGTGGCCGCCGCTTGCTCCCAGCCATCTGCGTCCGGGAGGCGGGGGCGGGGGCGCGGCCCGGGGAGGTGAGGAGGAGGAGCCAGGACGCGAGGGCGACCCCGTCGGCGGGAGGGCGGGGCGGGGCGGACCCTGTCTACTGGATAAGAGCCCGAGGCCGAGGCTGAGACCGCCCAGCGCTGCGGAGCGGGAGGGGAGGCTTCGCGGAACGCTCTCGGCGCCAGGACTCGCGTGCAAAGCCCAGGCCCGGGCGGCCAGGTGAGGCCAGCGTCGCTCGCGGCATCGGGGCGCCCCGCTCCTTCCGCAGACCCCGAAGTGGGGCGCAGGGGCGGGGGCCGGGGACCGGGCACAGTCTGGGGTCCCCGCGTCCCGCAGACCGCGCCGTCTCCAAAGTCGCCAACAGTCGCGGGTGCCGAGCGCCCCCCGATAGCGCCACATGGGACCCTGAGGCCGTCCGAGGCGCGAGGAGGGTGCAGGGCTGCCCCTGGCCCCGCTCCAGGCTCAGAACCGGGTGGGCACCTGGTGCAGTCACCGGCTTAGGGGACGCGTGGGTGTCTATGGCTGTGACTCGGGGGTCCTGGTTTCTTCTCGTGGAACTTAACCCTACTAGGGGTGCGGCGCATCCCAGATCCGATCGGAGTGGGTTTTGTACACCGCCGCTCCATCTCGCGGGGGCTTTGTCTGTGTTGGGGGTGGTGGCGGGCGCGGGCTGCGCGCTGGTGCTCTGGGCAGGGCGGGGAGGCCGGGCGAGGACTCGCCAGGCAGCGCCGCTTCTTGTTCTGGGCGCGGTGAGGAAGGACGCTTTCTAACGGGCCACATTTTGCTGTGTAGACCCAAAACTCGCCTCTGAGGCCCCGCGTTCAGGAGCGGGGTCAGGTGGCCCCAGGGCGGCGGCGGCTTGCCGGAGACTCGCGAGCTCCGCACCCGACGCCCTCTCCCAACGCGGCCTCCTGCTCGCGCCGCGGAACCCCTTCGTCGGGTGTTTTACCCACCGGAGGGGTCGTGCCGGTTGAGGTTGTCACCGGGTGCGTGGCATAGCTCGTGATAGCTCATGGGTGAGGTTTTGTGCAAACTTGGATGCAGGGAAAGTTGCCTGTTAGAGCCTCCACCTGCGACCTGCTTCAGTCGTTGTGTGTGTGTGCGCACCTGTGTGAGTGTGAGTGTGTATGTGTGTAAGTGTATGTGCTCGCCTGTGTGTGTGTGAGTGTGTATGTGTGTTTGTGAGTCTGTGTGTGTCTGTGTGTCTGTGTGTGCGTGCGCTCGACTGAAACACGCTGCTGCTGGATCCAAATGACAGAAGTCGCCCTGGCTGGGGCGGTGTAGACGCTCCTGCTCTCCTGCTCAGCGTTGCAGGGGGGTTTATGTAGCCGTTTGGACAGGATTTCCCGGGTTACCCTGCTGGCCCAGGAGCTAGTTCCCGCGATGAAGCCCTGTCCATCCTCCGCCCAGCTCTCTCACGCGGGGTGGTGCCACCTGCCCTAGGTGGATGTGGCTTGTACAGACACTTTTTGAGGAAGCAGTTGTGATGGTTATGTCTAAACTCTCTTTACAGTGGCTGATTTTGCTTATATAAATTTTGCTCTTTATTACTGAGTATAAACAATACAAGCCCAGGCTTGGTGGCTCATGCCTGTCATCTCAGCACTTTGGGAGGCTGAGGCAGGAGGATCGCTTGAGACCAGGAGTTCAAAACCAGCCTTGGCAACAATAGTCAGACCCTGTCTCTACAAAAAAACAACAACAACAACAAAAAAACACACACAAAAATAACTTAGCCGGTGCTGTGGTGCACACCTGTAGTCTCAGCTGCTCAGGAGGCTGAGGTGCAAGGATCACTTGAACCTAGGAGGTTGAGGCAGTGAGTTGTAATCACAACTGTATTCCATCCTGGGTGACAGAGCGAGACCTCATGTTAAAAAAGAAAAAAAAAAGAAAAAAGAATACAGATGAACAGTCATGAAGACATTATTGAATGCTCTTAGAAGATTGTAAAATTGCTCTCTGGAAGTGTGGGGGAAGGTGGAAGTGATATCCATGCATTGTTAGTAGAAAGCCACGCTAGAGCTCACACAGCCTTGCACTTTGATAGGAGTGGGGAGGGGTGCAGGGGAAGGAGGAGCAAACCAGAGTGTCTGTCTTGAGGCCTCCATGGGCCAGTGCCCCAGCCCTGTGGTGAGGGCTGGCACTTCCCAGCTCCCGTGCCCCAGCTGTACCATCTCAGGCGCTGAGAACGCACCCATCCCTTCCCAGAGGAATGCCCGTGAATGCCTCGGGGCTCTGCCCTCCGCACCAGGTATGTCCCTAGCCCTGGCTGCTGAATTGTTGCGTTCCTGTTGTGTGTTTATTTTTCATATTGGCTGAAGACCAAGAGGGAAGAAGCACAGAATTCCTCAACTCCCAGTGTGCCCATGAGTAAGAGCAAATGCTCCGTGGGACTCATGTCTTCCGTGGTGGCCCCGGCTAAGGAGCCCAATGCCGTGGGCCCGAAGGAGGTGGAGCTCATCCTTGTCAAGGAGCAGAACGGAGTGCAGCTCACCAGCTCCACCCTCACCAACCCGCGGCAGAGCCCCGTGGAGGCCCAGGATCGGGAGACCTGGGGCAAGAAGATCGACTTTCTCCTGTCCGTCATTGGCTTTGCTGTGGACCTGGCCAACGTCTGGCGGTTCCCCTACCTGTGCTACAAAAATGGTGGCGGTAAGTCCCATCTCAGCCTCCCTGAGCATGCTGGCCGGGCGGGGGTCGTAGGGGCAGCCGGGGCCAAGGCACGTACGGAAACGAGATGAAGCTGTTCCCATGCGTGAAGACGGAGCTCCCTGTGAGAGCTCACGGCCGGTGCAGATCCTCCCAGAGGATGTCACAAAACCATTGAGCAGGACTCGGAGCTGCCTTGTCCCACGCCTGCATTTCAGAGTTTAGGAAAGGGAGGCCCGCGAAGAAGCTGGGGGGTGGGGGGCGGCAGACGGGGCAGCTTGGCTCTGCCTCCTGTTTCCAGAGGCTATCTTCGCTTTGGAAAGAAAATTCTCAAAGGTCCAAAGAACAGCCTGCGGCTGACTTTGGCAGCCTTTGCAAAGCATGTGGAGGCCCTGGAGCCTGGAGTGGCAGAGGAGGCCCCTGGAAAGTGACTGTGTCCCCTGCACCCTCCAGAACCCAGCCACAGAGCCAGAAAGCGAAGATCGAGGCAGGGCCACCGGGGACGTCCAAGAACATTGGTGATCCCTTCCCAGGAGCCTCTTTGGGCCTCCCAGCCTCCCTGCCTGGCCTCCCTCATTGGCCTCTATGCTAGGTCTGGGAAGGGAGGCCTGGGGAAGAATCTGGGGGGAAGCCTCACAGGATGCCTGCGAGGAGGCTGGCATTTTTATGCCCATCTTGAAGAGGGGAAGACAGAGGCCTCAGCAGGTACAGGAAGTTGCCCAAAGACAGAGCTGAGGGGCCCCATGCCTCCCCCTCCCCTTCCCCAGGAGAGAGAGTGGCAAAGCTCTCCCTCACTCCAGTCAGACCAGGGGAGCAGAGGGAATTTAGGAGGTTGAGACCAGGGTTCCCTGGGCTTTGTGCTGGGGGTGGGGGAGGTGCAGGTTTCAGAGGAACTAGGCCTTACCCTGGAGGGGCTCCCAGCACCTGGGGCAGCAAAGACCCTCAGCCACAGTCAATAGGGGCAGCCTCTGAGGGCCCCAGAAGCTGGGGACAGGACGGCAGGGCCCACTCAGCTCAGGGGCAGAGTTGGGGGGTCACAGATTCACAACTCAAGAGGCAAAGAGGATCAGGGCAAAGTGGGGGGACGCAGGCCAGGGAAGGGCACCCCGAACCACCACGGGGAAGGATAGTACCTAGAGCACCGCTGAGCATGGGCAGGGCCTCCCTGTGCTGCTCTTGGGTTTGACTTCATGGCTCGAGGTGCGCAATGACAAGGGGATCCAGGAGGGACGTGTCAGGCACTGACAGCAGTGGAGGGCGGGCTTCGGGACTCATCTACCCTAGCCTGGGACTTCCCGTTGGAGAGTGGGGTGAAACGGTCGGGCCAGGACATGGATGGTTGACTGGGGTAGCCGCCCAAGCTCCCACGAGGAGAGATGGGCCCTTCCGAGGCCCCAAACTAAAGGTGCTTTTCTGCCCCACAGGTGCCTTCCTGGTCCCCTACCTGCTCTTCATGGTCATTGCTGGGATGCCACTTTTCTACATGGAGCTGGCCCTCGGCCAGTTCAACAGGGAAGGGGCCGCTGGTGTCTGGAAGATCTGCCCCATACTGAAAGGTAATATGCGGGTGCCTCCCTTCACCCTGGCGCAGCGCGGATCATGGTGGTGACGCTGGAGCTTTCAAAGCAAGCCAGCCGCATCATGGGCATCCAGCCCTGCTTTGCTAAGACACAGGCATGGCACACGCCACTTGAACTTGGGTCCCACCTTAAAGATCTGCAGTGACAAGGACTGGATAGTTCATTCCCTTGCTCTAGGTGAGGGTCCTGCAATTCATTTGTGGTGTTACTTTGTCAAGATGCTAAAATGTAGTTAAGATAAAACACATGTCTATCTATGGATCTGCCATCTACCTATCATCCATCGGTCCATCCGTCAATCATCTGTTATCTATCTATCCATTATCTATCTTTATTATTGGTCTTTATATCAATCATTCACCCATCTATCTACCTATCTACCTAATCCATCCATCTATCATCATCATCTATCTGTATCTGTTTCCTGTGGCTGCTGTAACAAATGACACAAACTGGGAGGCTTAAAAGGCACACGTTTATTGTCTCACAGCTCTGGAGGCTGGAAGTCCAAGATCAAGGTGTCTGTAGGGTTGATTTCTTCTGAGGCTGTGAGGAAGCATCTGTTCTAGCCTCTCTCCTTGTCTCAGAGATTGTCTTCTCCCTGTGCCTCTTTATACTTCTTGCTTCTATGCATATCTCTGTAACCAAATTCCCCGTTTTTATGAGGCCAGAAGTCCTGTTGGATTAGGGACACCCTAATGACCTCACTTTAACTTGATCACCTCTGTAAAGACCTTGTCTCTAAATAAAGTCACATTCTGAGGTTTGCGGGGTTAGAACTTCAACAGATGAACTTGGGGGAGGGACACATCCCACAATTCTATCTATCTATTATCTGTCAATCATCTATTCACCCGTCTGTCATCTACCCATTCATCCATCTATTTTCTTTTGATCCATCCACCTATCAATCCATTCATCCACCCATCCAGTCATCCATCCATTCATCTATCTATGGATCTATCATCCATCCATCCATCCATCCATCCATTATCTATTGAT
This sequence comes from Homo sapiens, assembly GCF_000001405.40. NCBI lineage: Eukaryota > Metazoa > Chordata > Mammalia > Primates > Hominidae > Homo > Homo sapiens. The sequence continues at coordinate 69,441 of NT_187547.1, forward strand.
CCATCCATCTACCTATCGATCCATCTATCTATCCATCCATCCATTCATTCATCCATTCATCTATCTATGGATCTATCCATCCATCCATCTTCTATCTATTCATCTATCCATTCATCCATCTGTTATCCATTGTTCCATCCATCCATCCATTCATCTATGTATGGATTAATCCATCCATCCACCTATCGACCTATCCACCTATCTACTAGCTATTGATCCATCTAGTTGTCACTGAACCTTTCCGGCTGCTGATGTCCTGCTCTGGCACCATGAAATGGACACACCTCGTGTTGAGTGCAGGTGGCCTGCCCAGCACCAAGCCCTCTCCCAGCATTTCTGACTCCATCTTCATGAGACCCTGGGAAGGGCACACACTAGGTCTCTGTGTTGGAGATGCAGATGCTGAGGACCAGAGGGCCGGGGTCGTTCCCCCTGGTGTCCCCATCAGAGCAGAGTGGGATTTGATCCCAGACGTTTCTGACTCCCCAATCCCTGCACGCAGGTCACACTTGCCCAGTGGGCCAAAGCCACCTCTCAGGGGCTGGTGGTTCAGGGAGGATTCAGGCATTTACTCAGAGGCACCACTCAGAAAATTGGCATTAAGAAAATGACTACTAGAAGGTCAGCCTCTGGATACTCATAGAAGTTCTGGAAAAGCTGTGTGTTTAGAAGACAGCCGAGCCCAGCACGGCCCCAGGACGCATTACCAATGGGTCAGGGGTGGGCCTTCAGAGGCGAGCCGCTGACCTCCCTTAGGAGAGGGAACAGATGGCATTTCACAGCTGCTGAGGTCAGGCTCCAGGAGGAGAAGTCAGTCTCGCAGCCGTGGAAATGCTGAGACTGGACAGGTGTGATGGTTCTTCCCAGGCACGAGACTCATTCGTTCTTAATGGGCTGCTTAGTGAATCTTATGACTTCAGTAATTTCTTCCTGGGCTCCACATTCACTGGACTGCACTGAAATGGAGCTACAAAAAGAGGCCTCCCTCCCCACCCCCACCCCCACCCCCACCCCACACACATCTTCAGAGTGAGAGACAGATGCTTTGGGCATGCACTGGTGCCAGACGACCCCTTGGCGGGATCTGCAGGTAGAAGTCAAACCGTACAAGAATTGCTCAGAACATGCCTCCGTCCCCGTCGTCAGGTCCCTGATATCAGGTCCCCAATGGAAGAATGCAGCAGCCAACGGAAGACCCAGGCCTGTTGTTACAGACAGACAGGGGCGCGTGTCAAATCCGGCGTTGCAGTGAACCCAGGCTAACAGTTCAAGACACACGCGTTACCTGTGTCCTGCCTGGCCCTGGCCAGCGGCACGGACGTGTTTCAGAGAGGAGTGCTGCCTCTGAGCCTGCAGTCGTAAGCGATGCTGAGCTTGCACCGTGGTCCGTGTTGGAGAGTATCTGAGGGCTCAGAGCCTTGGGATGCTGAGTCAGAGATGAAGCCGGCCCACTGGGGTAGGGGAAACTGAGGAAAGATGACATTGTGCTCTGGCACAGGCTGCAGCGACATCCAACTGTGCTTTGCTGGATTTTCAAGAGCCACCCTGGAGTCTGTCACAAGTGTCTTACAAGGCACAGCCCTGTGCCCCACTCCCGCCAGTGAGCCTGGTGTTGGAGCAAGTTAAATCACCTCTTCACGTGCAGGATTCAGGTGAGGAGGGCAGGAGAAAAAGGGACCTGTAGGTCCGCAGATAAGAGCTCATTTCCTTCCGTCTGTCACACAGAAAGGATGTTCACCAACAAAGCTGCCGTTGTGGGTCTTCATGGTGTAGTCCATAAAATGTCAAGAAGCAATTTCTAAGAATTTCAGAGCACCAACTCAACTTGGGCTAGTAGAGAACCTCTGACTTCCATCAGCGTGAGCAGTGGCACCTCGTTCTGAAGAAATGCAGCCGGCGGATGTGGGCATATCATCGTGTTCTCCACAATGCGCAGCCGGGGTAAGCTGGGCAGTCGTCTCCTCTGTGTCACAGACCCTGTGCCCACAATCCCGCATTCCATGCCGCCAGCTTCGTTCTGAAGACTAGTCCCAGAGGAGGGCTGCAAAGTGTGGCCGCAGGAAGGAAGGCTCGTGGCCCTGCGGGCGGATCTTTGGAAGAGCTTGTTCACACTCACCTAGTCCTGGTGAGGAAGGAAAATTGCAAATCACAGAAAGTGAACTGTTCGACCCACGAAGGGATAGATGAATCAGTGCAAGAAAGCTGGACTTCTTTTTAGAGACGAGACACCTTGAGTTGTTGAATCTCAGTAACGCTGCAGGTTCCGGTGCCAGCGTCCCGTTTGTTCTGCCTACCTGTCAAGCGCAGGATGCCAGTTTAGAGGAGACTGACATTGCTTATGAAATCAGATGTACACCATGCACCCCCGGCACCCTGATACATGTGCCTTTGTCCTTTTTAAAAATCTGGTTAATAAAAATGCATACGTTTTCATGTCTCATTGAATAGAAGTGCCACGTGGTAAATTAAGACATCAGCTAAAGTGCCCACAACAATCATTGTGGAGCTAAAAGGCCATCCAGCCCTGAGCAGGTGGCAATTCCATGGGGGAATGAAGCCAGCTCTCCAGGAAGCCTGGTTGTTCCTGGCCCTTCCCCTCCTGCAGACCTGCGAGCTGCTCCCTGCTCCTAACTGGGAGCCAAGATCCACCCTTGAAAGCCAGAGGGCGGAGTTCATGGTGAGGCCCAGCTGCTCAGCAGCCATGACTCACGTGCATTTCCCGTAGTCTCACCAGAGCAGCTTGGGATGGGCACCACAGCCAGAGGGGCCTCTGGGGCCTTCAGCCCCGCAGTGCACCCCAGGGTCCTGAGAGGTGGGTCTTTAAAACTCTCCGTCTCCTCCCTTCCCCTCGCTCTCTTTCCCTCTCCCTGTGTCTCTTTCTGTCTCTCTCCCTCCTTTCCTCTCTGTGTCTCTCCTGTTCTGTCTCTTCTCCTCTCTGTCTCTCTCCTGTTCTGTCTCTTCTCCTCTCTGTCTCTCGGGTACATGCACACACAGCAAGCACATACTAAAGACACCCAGACTGACACAGAGAGGCGTCCTCTCCCCTCTTTCTTTTCTTTTCTTTTCTTTTTTTTTTTTTTTGTGAGACGGAATCTCGCTCTGTCACCAGGCTGGAGTGCAAAGGCGCGATCTTGGCTCACTGTCACCTGCGCGTCCCGGGTTCAAGCGATTCTCCTGCCCCAGCCTCCCGAGTAGCTGGGGCTACAGGTGCGTGCCACCACGCCCCGCTAATTTTTTGTATTTTTAGTAGAGACGGGGTTTCATCGTGTTAGCCAGGATGGTCTCGATTGCCTGACCTCATGATCCGCCTGCCTTGGCCTCCCAAAGTGCTGGGATTACAGGAGTGAGCCACCGTGCCCGGCCCTCTCCCGTCTTTCTTCCAAAGACCTGCTTGATGCCTCCTGTGAGGTATGGAGGGGCTGCTCCACCAGAGGCTTCCTCCAGCGGGATCCGTGCATGCGTTGACAACACCCTCTCCTGAAGCCAGCTCTCGTGGGTGCCCTGGGGTGTACTGGTGTTCAGGGGTGGGGCAGGGTGGCCGTGCTCTGGTGGGCGAAGCACCATTTGCAGGCACGACCCTCAGCCAGCTTCTGTTTGTCAGGTTTCGGTTTCATTGCCAAGGGCAACCCCATTTTACAGACGCCCTGGAAACCCCACCATTCGATTGTATTGAATATAAAATATTTTATAGTCAGTCATATTTTAGTGTGATTTCTCAAACACAAAACAAACTACACACAAGGTTAATATAAAGAAAAAGATACTAAGCAAAAATAAATTTAAGGAAATGGGCCTTAAAAGCTATGCTTGAAATTCACACTTAGCGCCGAGCTTCCTGGGAGTCAGACAGGAGGGAAGGGAAGCGCCATGTTCTCATGAATGTTTTCCCTGGAAACGCGAGCAGGGACTTTGCCTGCCACCTCCTTGGGGAGACAGTCTCCCGTGTCACTAAATGGTGTTTAAGAAATGTGTCAGGTGAAGCTTCATCTGGAGCCCACAGTGATGTCATGAGCAGAGATCACTAGAAGGTTCTGTAGCCAACAGGGTAGTGGGTTTCCTGCGTCTGGGCCTTCGGTGAGCTTGAGGAGCTCGTGGTGAAGTTGGCTGGTTGGTGAGGGGCTACACGTCAGTGGCCCAGGTCACGGGCTCTGCCTTCCTGAAGGGCAGGGCTTGGAGCAACCGAATGCCTGGCCAGTGCTGACAGTGGCCACTACCGTTCAAGGGAGCCATTTCCTCACCCAGGTGCCCAGGGAAGCATCCAGGAGGGGACTGGCCACCACCGTTCAAGGGAGCCATTTCCTCACCCAGGTGCCCAGGGAAGCATCCAGGAGGGGACTGGCCACCACTGTTCAAGGGAGCCATTTCCTCACCGAGGTGCCCAGGGAAGCATCCAGGAGGGGACTGGCCACCACCGTTCAAGGCTGTTTCCTCACCCAGGTGCCCAGGGAAGCATCCAGGAGGGGACTGGCCACCACCGTTCAAGGGAGCCATTTCCTCACCCAGGTGCCCAGGGAAGCATCCAGGAGGGGACTGGCCACCACCGTTCAAGGGAGCCATTTCCTCACCCAGGTGCCCAGGGAAGCATCCAGGAGGGGACTGGCCACCACTGTTCAAGGGAGCCATTTCCTCACCCAGGTGCCCAGGGAAGCATCCTCAACCAGGAGGGGTCCTCTTGGTAAGGGGGACTCTGGTGTGGGGGCTGCACTGTCCCATGGATCAGAGCAGGCCCATTTGCTCTGGGAGCCGCATCAGCCAGTGTGGCCAGTGGTGATGTCATGCACAGTGGCCATGGTGATGTCATGCTCCCATGGTGGCCCTGCCAATCTGTGGTGCAGGGCAGGAAACAAAAGCAGTGGCTCTGGAAGGACCCAGGGTACACTCAGCCCTTCCTTCGGACTCTGGATTGGGATCCACTCTGGTGTTGTTTGATCAAGGACTTCCCAGGGTTTCAAGCTAAGGACTTGATACAGAAAGTTTTAACCTTGAAAAATTTTCAAATTGGGCATCCATTGTCAGTTACCACCATGGAAAACCCTCCACAGTGCTCTCTGGAAACAATGTGGCTCACCGACAGTGTGGCTCCCAACCTGGCTGCCTGGGTGAGTTCACTGTGGATCACAACCCAGCCTCTCTCCTAAGGGACTCCGGACAGACGGTAATATAGAATTATTTAATATGGACCAGATCCACGTGGGAGAAGGCCTTCCAAAGGCAATCCGTGACAGACTGCAATACAGAATTATTTAATATGGACCAGATCCATATGGGAGAAGGCTTTTCAAAGGCAATCCATGACAGACTGCAATACAGAATTATTTAATATGGACCAGATCCACATAGGAGAAGACCTTCCAAAGGCAGCAGCTTGGCTTTCATCGTCACCACTACTGAGCATGCTTTCCAAGGGGGATTACCCGCACTCCTGATCTTAGATTTGTTTAAAACAAAGTTTTGAGTCTTCTTTTTGCTTTCAAGGTAGGAAGAGAACTTTACTGAGGTGCCCTGAGCATGAGAACAGCTTCTCCTAAGGATTGAGACTATAAAAAGCAACCCAGGCCACCCCCTGCAAAAGTCACCTTGAAGGTATGCTCCTACCCCGGCCATGAACAGGCAAGACGGCATGGTGCCTACTGGGTTTTAATAAAGTAAATCAAAGTTGTACCCAAACTAATCATGTCAGTAAACTGAGAAGAAATGTGGAAATGAAAAAAATTCTTCCTGGAGCTTAGTAAAGTGAACCCCAGTAGCAAGAACGTGATGGTGCCCATCCAGCAGTGAACAAGGAGGAAGTCATCTGACCACCAGGCCCATCTGCCCACCAGTCAGGCTGACACCACTCCAAAGACTGCTGACCACTGAGTTCTGTTCCAGTTTACCAGGAGACCCCATAAATGATGGATCCCAAATTCCAGGTCTGTGATCCTGGAAAGGACACTCTAAAAGACCGTGGATGGCATTGCATGGCCATGGATGGCCCTGGCTGGTCCTTGATGGTCTTGCATGGCCCTGGAAGGCCTCGGAAGGTCAAACATGGCTCTGAGTAGTCCTTCATAGTCATGCAAGGCTCTGGGTGGCCCAAGGAAGCCCTGGATGATCTTACCTGCCCTGGGTGGACCCTGGTGGTCTTACGTGGCCCTGGGTGATTCTAGGAAACCCTGGATGGTCATGCATGGGTAGTGTGACCTTGGATGGCTCCACATGGCTGTAAATGAGCTCAGATGACTCTTCTGAGTAGTCTTGCAGGAGAGGCATGAGCAGCTATAGATGGCCACAGATGGCCATAGATGGCTATGGATGGCTCTGGATGGCCATGGGTGGCTGTGGATGGCCATGGGTGGCCGTAGATAGTTATGGGCAAATGCAGATGGCTGTGGATGGCTGTGGATGTCTGTAGATGGCTGTGGATGGTTTTGAATGGCAATGGATTGTTGTGGATGGCCGGGTGGATGTGGGAGGTTGTGGACAGCCATGGATGACTATGGATGGCTGTGGATGGATGTGGATGGTTGTGGTTGGGTGTGGATGGTTGTGGATGGTTGTGGATGGATGGATGGTTGTGGATGGCCGTGGATGGATGTGGGTGGCCATGAATGGTTGTGGATGGCTATGGATGACCATGGATAGTTGTGGATGTCTGTAGATGGCTGTGGATGGTTGTGAATGACAGTGGATTGTTGTGGATGGCCAGGGGTGGATGTGGATGGCCATGGATGACTGTGGATGGCTGTGGATGGATGGATGGTTGTGGATGGCTGCGGATGGATGTGGATGGCCGTGGATGGCCATGAATGGTTGAGGATGGCTATAGCTGACCGTGGATAGTTGTGGATGAATGGAGATGGCTGTGGATGGCCATGGATGGCCCTTTGCGACTCAAAGTGGCCCTGGATTAGCCTGGGTGGCCATATGTGGTCCTGGGTGCCCTCCATAGTCCTGAATGAGCCTGGTGGCTGTGGATGGCTGTCAAGGACCCCAGGTGTCCCTTAGTGACTATTGGCAGTCTTGATGGCTCTGGGAGACACTGGGTGTTCCTGGGTAACCCTAGACGACCTTTGATGGCCCTATTTGCATGGGCTCCCTAGGTAGCCCTGGGTGCTTCTGGGTGGCCGTGGATGATTCTGATGGTTTCACATGGGCCTGATAGCCCTGGTTAACCATGAGTTGGGTTGCCCTGGGTCACCCAGAGTACCCCCTAGATGGCCTCAATGATCCTGGATGACTCTTATGGATCCTGAGTGGCTGTGGTGGGGATGGATGACCATATGTGGCTGGGGGTGACCTTGGTGTCCCTGGGGGTCTCTGGGTGCATAAGGGTGGCCCTGGATACTCGCCATAGCTCTGGGTGACCTTGCTGGCTCTGGATGTCTCTCAGAGACACCCTGAAAGTCCTTGTGTAGGAGTGCATGGTTTTGGGGAGTGGGCAGCTTCTTCTCTGTGGTCACAGTGTGAAATCTGGTCTCAGGCCTTTCACGGGCCTTCCCTGCATGTTTGAAGATGCTGTCTGGCATCAGGGCTGTCCAGGAGTTGTGGGCTCAGGGTAATGTCTCCCGTGAGGGGAGGTGGAAGGGACACGTTGCTGATGGTGGCTCTGTGCTCCACCTGCGTGGGCTCCATGGCCTCCCCCTTCCCGCTAGGTGTGGGCTTCACGGTCATCCTCATCTCACTGTATGTCGGCTTCTTCTACAACGTCATCATCGCCTGGGCGCTGCACTATCTCTTCTCCTCCTTCACCACGGAGCTCCCCTGGATCCACTGCAACAACTCCTGGAACAGCCCCAACTGCTCGGATGCCCATCCTGGTGACTCCAGTGGAGACAGCTCGGGCCTCAACGACACTTTTGGGACCACACCTGCTGCCGAGTACTTTGAGTAAGTGGGAGTCGGGTCCTCGGGAACGGGAGAGATGGCGCAGCCAGGTCCCCCATGGTAGCCCCTTGGTTGGACACCAGCCCTTGCTGACTCCCAGGGTGCGGGGAGGGGGAATCTGTTCCTGCACTCCATCCCTTTAGTGCTCTGGAGGGGCACATTTCTGAATCACTGTGGTGGTCTCCAGGAGCTCAGCAAAGCTCCTGTAGGGCGAGCCCTCAGCAAGGATGGGGCACTGAGCAGCTCCCTTGGCTGCTCCCAGCGGCAGCTCAGGGTGGGAGGGGGCTGATGGGGAACACAGCAGACCCTGTGCAGAAGGTGGGCAAGCTCCAGTCTCTGGGAGCTGCAGTGGCGCCTCTGGAGTGAGTCAGCCCCATGTCTGGGCTCCCTTCCTCCCTACCCTTCCTCTGTGCATAGCATGGGGCCGAACTGCCTCACTCCGGCCCTTGCCCTCTCCAGAAAAGATAACTTTCTGGGTGTCACTGCGCAAGAAGTCTCTGGCTTCAGTAGGCAGCCCCTGTCTCCAGGGTGACCCAGCCGTCCGCTTTTCACAAGACTTTGTTTTGTTGTTTACCTGCATGGCTTTATTTCTGTCTCTGGGCCTCTTTCCACCTCCCATGCCAGCGTATCCCATGTCCAGCAGCCTCCTGGGTCTCTGTCTCCTTCTCCCTTTGCCCTGGCCAGGCCTGACCTGCACAGTCCTCCCCAGCCAGGCCAGTTCCTCACTGCCCACCCCAGCCAGGCCCAACCCTCACTGTCCACCCCAGCCAGGCACAAACCACAAAGTCCACCCCAGCCAGGCCCCTCGCTCACTGTCCACCTCGGCCAGGCCCACCCCACACCGTCCACCCCGGCCAGGCCCGCCCCTCATGGTCCACCCCGGCCAGGCCCACCCCTCACCGTCCACCCCGGCCAGACCCAACCCACACTGTCTACCCTGGTCAGGCCCATCCCTCACTATCCACCCCGGCCAGGCCTGATCCTCACTGTCCATCCCAGCCAGGCCCAACCCATACAGTCCACCCCGACCAGCCCCAACCCGCACAGTCCACCCCATCCAGGCCCGTCCCTCACTGTCCACCCAGGCCAGGCCCGCCCCTCACCATCCACCTGCAGCACCTGCTTTCCTGGACCCCGATGTCTCCGATGAAGTCCTTTTGGGCCCCGTGCCAGCTCCTGCTGGCCCTCCCTCGTCACCAATGGCCTGGCCCAGCCTGGAAGGGTCGTTACTGACACCCAGGGGTTCCCTGTTTCCCCTGGACCCCTCCCGGAATCTGGATCTGGCGGGTGCCATCCACATCTTCCTGCCCTCGCCAGCCGGGCCTGGGGCCTCGTGCCGGGTCGCCGTTCTGACAGGCGGACTCTTCGACTCAGCCGTCATTTTGGAGAGGAGGAGAGGACGTTTGCGCGATTCTCCCCAGATCCAGTGTTTCCCGTCAGCCAGGGCGCTCCTGTTTGGGGGGCTCGCTTGCCTGGTTAGACGCATCTTATTCACGTTTATATGCCAAAATGAGTCCACTTCAAGGTAGGAAAAGGAACTTTGACCAGTAAGACTAATTCCAGTTTTAACAGCCAGTAGGTGCCTTTGCAAAATTTGTTTTGAGTCAGAAAACAGGGAGCTTGAAAGCAAATGAAGCATCTCATGTTAAGTTTGTACAAGTCACGGTGAGCAGAGAAGCCCCCACCTCGCCTCTGCTGGGGGAGGATCATCCCCGAGAACTTTGGTCTTGGTCTGCAAGGGCACCTTCGGGGCGCACAGCCTCCCAGAGAGATGCTTTCTATATCTGAAAACCGTATCAACAGACATCACTGAGGTCTTTTCCTGCAAGGAAGGGACCTTCGCCCTCTCCTGGGGGTCTTGTCAGAGATGGCTGAGATGGAGCCTTCGGGCAGGCCGGAGGGTGTGGCTTGGAGAAAGTAGGGCTGATGCTGCCGGAAAGGGACCAGTTCTCATGGTGGGCAGGCGTTCGGTCTCTCAAACTGCTCTGCACTCAGATATTCAGAACCCAAGTGCTTGGTTCTAGAATTCCTCCTCGGGCATGGAAGCATATTGCCGGGACTGGCCTTGGAGGTGAGGAGCCGGGGCGGAGGCAGGTTTTGGGGGGCCACCCGGCGTTTTTCTTAGAGCATGAGGAAGACCATGGGTCGCGTGGGGTGAGCGTTGTGTGGGCCTTTCTTGTGGTTTGGGAGTGGACAAGAGTGACGAACTCTGAGGAGGACGGTGCCACGATGGGAGAGAGTGGCCCACCAAGTACCCAGCAGGAGGAGAGAGAGTCCAGGCTGGGGCGCCAGGAAGACGCTCATGGGAGGAGGGCTGGTTTCAGAAGGTGGGGCAGGTGGGAGAGAAGATGCACCCGGGATGAGTCCTGGTTGTTTGCCTGAAGACACTTGGACGAGCATCGCCATAGGAAGCGCAGCTGCAGGCAAGGTCGTGGGAGAGTCTGGGCAGGACTCTCGTGGGTGACAGGCAAGCGGGAAATGATAAAATCGTCCAAATAATGCACAGTCACACCATTTGTCCAAGTAGATTTTAACATTCTCGAGGGAGAAAACTCCCATTGCGTGTGGATGGCCTGTTCACACCTACATTTCCCTAATTAAACACCCTATGAGCACCCCAGGCCTGGGCTGCATGTGCTCTTGCTGTGTGCCCAGCTCTCAGGGTTAGCATGTGATCAAAGAGAGGGGACAGCAGGAGAAAGTGGGGGGCACACAGAGCCAGGGGCAGTGGCCGCAGAGGTGCCACCAGGGCAAGAGCCTGAGAGTTCCCGGTACCCAACGCCCTGTTAAAGCTGCCAAGTGCTGCCATGTGGGGACTGCCTTCCTTTTGTTTGGGCAGTGTGGGAAATGTTGACTCATTGAAGTGATGTTCAGATAACAGAATTGGAGAGGAAAACTTAGTGTAGTGATTAGTCCAGTGATTCGTTGTTAAGAATGCTAGAAGGAAAGAACACGTGTTATTATTTTAAACGATCAGACTAGCGAAGTCTATTTGGAAGTTCTCAGTCTGGAAGGAAGGAAGGAAACAGAAAGGTGCCCAGCCCTTCACTCAGAAGCCCTGTCCGCACTGGCACGTGGTACACTTTAGCTGGCGGCAGCTCAAGAGCAGACGTGGGGAGTTGGAGAAGGTTTAAGATCAATTCACAAATGATTAATGACCCAAGGCACTGAGGTGCTTGGCACTCCTCCCACACCTTCTGAAGGTGATTTTCCCACCAGTGGGACTGAGGTTCCCCTGAAACAGGCCCCAGTGACTCTTGGGGAGCAGGGAGGACAGTCATAACGTACTCAGGTCTGCCAGGGGTGTTCTGGATTTCAAACCTGCTTTATAAAGCAGATCACTGGACAAAGGATGTCGGGTTCCTGCCAGCGCATGTAATCAGGGAGTGGATGTGTCACTGTGAAAGGCCATAAAGGCCAGAGTGGCTGTGATGTGTGACAGTGCAGCTCTTTGTCCTAGATAATGGGCATGCCTGACTTTGTCAGTAAACACAAAAGGGATTGAGTTTCCTACACAATGTACGAAACATGACGTGTCATAAATTTGACAACTAAGATGTTAGCAAGAGTAGATCTGAAAGGGCTTTATCGTGCGTTTTTACTACAGGTCCTCAGGAAGTAACCGTGAGGCCTGGGTGAGACGCTGGCCATGTCTTCTGGGCCCTAAGTCAGAAAAGATGCTGAGCTGCCCCACTAACGGTGCTTCCTCCATGTGCCATGAATGCCGTGTGCAGTGCTGGCTCCTACACCCAGTGTTCCTCAGGGTTGGCAAATGAAACGTATCCTGTGGGAGTTGCTGGCACCCCTGGCCCCCAGGGGTCCCAGCCAGCCTTCCTGCATTGCCACTTCCTTCTTGGGCAGCAGCCCACCCACCAGAGGGAGGTGGCAGAAATGGTTCCTGGAGAGAAATAAAAGGAACCCTTCCTTGTAGGAACCTGGAGATTATTGATTGGCTGCATCCCACACATTTGATATGCTGTGTTTTCATTTCAAAACCCCAACACAGGACCACATAACTGTGACCAGTTTACAGTTTCCCCACTTCCATAAATACTTATCGACACTGACTAATATAAATTATAAAGTTATAAATTAAAGCTATTAATTTGCCTCAAATGGACTGCATTAGCTGCATCCCACAAAGTTTGATATGCTGTGTTTTCATTTCATTCAGTTCAAAGTATTCCCTAATCTTTCTTTTGATTTCTATTTGACTAACAGGGCATTTTTAGAAGTTTGTTGTTTAATTTGAAATATTTGGAAGTTTGCTAGGTATTTTTGTTATTGATTTCTAATTTAATTCTGTTTTGGCAAGATGATATGCTTATACATCTTTAATATTTTAAAATATATTGAGACTTGTTTATGACCTACTAGATGGTTTACACTGGTGAATGTTCCACATGCACCTAGAAAGAATATGTATTCTGCTGTCTTTGGTTGGAAAGTTGCATAAATGTCAGAGAGGTTATGTTAGGTCACTGTGTTTTTCAGGTTTTCTACATCCTTACTGGTTTTCTGTCCACTTGCTCTATCAGTTACTGAGAAAGGGGTACTGAAATCTCAACTATAACTGTAGATTTGTCTATTTCTTTTCACTTCTATCAGTATTTGCTTCATTCACATATTTTGAAACTCTGCTATGAAGTGCATACATGTTTATTATTATTAGTCTTTGAATTGACCGCTTTACCATTTGAACTATCCTTCTGGGTTAGATTTCTCATTCTGAAGTCTACTTTGTCTGATAGTAATATGGCCACCCCAACTTTCGTATGATTACTGTTTGTGTGGTATTATCTTTTCCAGCCTTTTATTTTTAAACTATATGTGTCATTATATATAAAATGGATTTATTGTAGACACCATCGAGTTGGTTGTGCTTTTTATCCAATATGGCAATCTCTGTTTTTTAATTAGAGTTTCCATTCAATAATTGTCAGCATGGCTGGCTTTAAGTCTTTCATTGTGCTAATTTTTTGCCCCCTCTCTTCTTTGTTTCTTGTTTCCTCTATTTATTCCCTGTTTTGAATTAATTTTTTAGGCTTTCATTTTATCAACACTATTAGCTAATAAACTATAGCTTTCTGTTTTCATTTCTTCGTGGATTTTATAGGGTTTACAACACTGACCTTCAAGTGACATGATACCGTTTCACAGAGCAGAAGGGCCTACAACAGTAGACTTCTGTTTTCCTCACATCCTTTGTGCAATTGTTGTCATAGATTTTTTCTACAATATGTATCAACTCCATGATACCTTGCTGTTATTTCTGCTTTAAGCATTTACATTTTAAATAAATCTAACAAAGAAATGTTTTATATTTACCTGCATAGGCACCATCTCTAGTGCTGTCCGGTCCTGTATGTAGATTGGGGTTTCCATTTAAGACCATCTTCCTTCCATCTAAAGAATTTCCTTTAACATTTCTCATAGCGTAGACTTGCTGGCAGTGATTCAGCTTGGGCTTTACACAAAAGTATTTTGCCTTCTTGGGGGGCTATTGTGGTAAGCTATACATAGCATTGCTTTTACCACCTTAGCCATTTTTCAGTGCACAGTTCAGTGGCATTAGGTACAATCACATGTTGTGCAACCATCACCATCATCCATTGGAACTTTCTCCTCCTCCAAAGCTGAAATTTTGTCCCCATTAAATACTAAGTCCCCATCCTCCCTCACTGCAGCCCCTGGCAGCTACCATTCTACTTTCTGTCTCTGTGAATTTGTCTACTCTAGGTCCCTCCTCTGAGTAGAATCACTTATTTTTTTGTGACTGCCTTATTTTCCTTAGCATATGTCTTCAAGGTTTATTGAAGAATTTCAGAACCAGAATTTCATTCCTTTTTAAGGCCAAATAATATTTCAATTCCATTGTATGGATATATCATGTTTTGTTTATCCATTTATCTTTTTCCTTTTTAGAGACAGGATCTCACTCTGTTGTCCAGGCTGGAGTGTGCAGTGGTATGATCACGGCTCACTGCAGGCTTGACCTTCTGGGCTCAAGCAATCCTCCTGCCTCAGACTCCCAAGTAGCTGGGACTACAGGTATGTGACACCACATCCAGCTAATTTTTTAAAATTTTTTGTAAAGTGGGGTCTTGCCATGTTGCCCAGGCCTGTCTTAAACTCCTGGGCTCAAGTAATCCTCCCGCCTCAGCCTCCCAGAGCACTGCAATTACAAATGTAAGCCACCACACCTGGCCAGATCTATTTATCTTTTGATGGACATTTGGGTTGCTTCCACATTTTGGCTACTGTAAAAACATGCTGCTATGAACCTCAATATTGAGTACCTACTTTTGAGTAGATACCCAGAAGTTGAATTGCTGGAGCTATGTGATAATTCTGTGTTTAATTTTTTGAGGAACCACCACACTGTTTCCCACAGTGGATGCAAATCGGAACAAGGGTTCTGATTTCCCCGCATCCTTGACAACACTTACTTTCTGCTTGTTTGTTTTGATCATAGCCATCCTAATGGGTGTGAAGTGGTCTATCATTGTATTTTTGATTTGTATTTCCTTAATGATTAGTGACTGTTGGGCATCTCTTCATGTGTTTATTGGCCATTTGTATACCATCTTTGGAGCAATGTCTATTCAAGTCCTTTGCCCATTTTTGAATTGGGCTGTCAGTTTTTTTGTTGTTGAGTTTTAGGAGTTCTTTACATATTTTAGATATTATTCTCTTTTCAGATTAATAGGTGATTTGCGAATATTTTCTCTCATTCTGTAGTTTTCCTTTTTACTCTGTTGATAGCATCCTTCAGTGCACAAAAGTTTTAAATTTTGATGAAGTCTAATTCATCTTTTGTGTCATATCTAAGAAACCATTGCCAAGTCCAAGATTGTGAAAATTTACCCTATGTTCTCTTCCAAGAGTTTTATGGTTTTAGCCCTTATATTTGGCTCTTTTATCCATTTTGGGTTAATTTTTCTATATCATGTGAAGTAGCTGTTCACTGATTTTCCTCTGGTTGTAGATCACATTTCTTGCTTCTTGTCATGTCTAGTAATTTTTTATTAGATGCTAGACTTGGTGAGTTTTATACTAATGGGTATTTAGCTCTTGTCGTCTTTGTTTAGAGAGTGTTAGATTTGTTCTAATAGGAAGTTAACGTGCTTTGGCACAATTTTATCCTTTGGAAGCTTGTTTCACCACCTCACTGCCTTGGCTCCCTCTTGGTAAAACGGGGTGAGAGGGCTGCTGTGAGGTCATCACAATGATGCATGGGAGGCCTGAGCATGCCTGGATCACCACCAGTGGCTCCACTGTCACCCAATTGAATCATGGCCAGGAATTCACCAGGAAAAAGAGCCCAGTAGAAATTGGGAGGTGCTGTGTCTTTTCCACGCCTGGTGAACATCCTGGGCCAACACTTTTCTGGTCCTCCCAACTATTATGGCTTATGAAACGCCTGCACGTAGGCCTGCACTTATGCCCCTTCCCGGATGTCCTTTGATGGTCTCGCCTGCCCTGCCCTCAGAAGCATGGACATGCTGGGAGACGCACAGCTTTCCCCTGCTCCTGGCATGGCTGGTTCCCATGCTGTGGTCAGCTCTGGGGACCCCTCTTCTCAGGTTGACAGCACTCAGGAGTGTCCGGTTCTCTAAATTGTCTGTGGGTTTTCAAATAACCTCAAAGCACAGTGACTTTCTAATCTCGAGAAGGGGCTCGACCCAGTGTGTCAAGGTGCTGCGTCTGAAGTTGCTTTCATGTTTAATGCTGAGCCAGCTGTGTGTGCTGTGGACGCAACCTTGTGAGAAGGCCCTGAGTGGGGCAGCGCACTTTCCCTGGGCCTCCCCCTCTGGTCCAGGAGGGCCTGTGCCATGTATGGGCATTGACTGAGTTTGCCTTTTCTCCAGGCACCTGGGCAAGGGGAGAGGGTGTGCTGTCTGGTCTGGGTGTATAATTCATGCACGTGTGTGTGTGAGGCACTGAGGCTGCCAAGGCGTGGGCGGGTGGCATGCTGGGGTCAGTGACACCATGGGCAGTGAGGGAGGAGTGGTCCGGGCTGCACAAAGTTGCTGGGAGGCCTCAGAAGCTCTCAGTGATGAGACCTTGCTGGGGGAGCAGAACGACGGGGACTGGCCAGCAGGGGCAGAGCCTGGTGTGTGGCAGGAGGAGTGAGAAGAAGGCCCTGGGAGTCCCCACTGCCCCAGGAAGGGCAGGCGTGACCTCCACCAGCTCAGACAACTTTCCCTGCACAGTGCGGGTGACGGATAGCCTCTTGACTGAGCGGCTTGCCCTTGGAGAAGAGCAGAGAATGGTGGCGATGGTTTCAGTGGTGCAGCCATCTGCCCACCCGGCCAACCTGGGGCCTGTGCCAACCTGGGGCCTCTGCCTGGGCGCCCTCCAGGATAGGACGGAGGCACTGTCCAGCGCTTTCAGGGCTCGTGGGGCCTTCCCTGTTGGCAACAGCCAGGGTGTCTGGAGTTTGAAGAGCCGAATTCCTGGGACATGGCCCTGGAATGCCTTGCAGCTGGTGGAAAGCTCCCCAAGGCTGCATTCGGCCGGGCTCCACCATGGGTGTCAGGTTTTATCTCCTGGGGACCTCAGTGGACCCACAACAGAAGCAAACCTGGGCAGTGGGAGCTCCTTTCATAACGCGGCTTCTGTCTGTCACAGCTCCTGACTCTACGGTGGCAGCGGCACGGCTGTTACAGTTGCCTTGGCCCCAAGTCACAGTCTGCAGTGGTGACGCAGCTGACTGCATGTAGCCTGGTGCATGTTCTCCCACAGAGAGTGTCACCAGGATGGAATGAGTTCCCACAGACAGGGGGCCCAGGACCTGTGCCTGGGGCAAGGAGCACAGCCGATGGTCAGCTCCATCCCTCACCCTCTGTTCTGCCCTTTCTGAGGGATCCTTCAAAAAACAGTGGAACTGCGAGTGATTCCTGCTGGAGCAGAGTCATCCACTGAATCTGTTCCTTGTGGAATCCTCATAGCAGCAGGGGCTGTGAGCAGGTGTCGTGAGCCATCCCCTCAGAAAACAGTGCTGGCTGGTGCCTGTGTGCCTGGCATTATTGCTAGAGTTTGCTCGGCCTCATCCCTGGAGAGGGACCCTGGGGCTGTCTTGTGGGCAGCAGTGGGTACCCAGCAGCATGGGCAGCACTGTGGGCAGCGGTGGGTACCCAGCACCATGGGCAGCACTGGGCAGCGGTGGGTACCCAGCACTGTGGGCAGCAGTGGGTACCCAGCACTGTGGGCAGCACCTGTGGGCAGCAGTGGGTACCCAGCACTGTGGGCAGCAGTGGGTACCCAGCACTGTGGGCAGCACCTGTGGGCAGCGGTGGGTACCCAGCACCATGGGCAGCACTGTGGGCAGTGGTGGGCACCTAGCACCGTGGGCAGCACTGGGCAGCAGTGGGTACCCAGCAGCGTGGGCAGCACTGTGGGCAGCGGTGGGCACCTAGCACCATGGGCAGCACTGGGCAGCAGTGGGTACCCAGCAGCGTGGGCAGCACTGTGGG
Source organism: Homo sapiens (assembly GCF_000001405.40). Lineage (NCBI taxonomy): Eukaryota > Metazoa > Chordata > Mammalia > Primates > Hominidae > Homo > Homo sapiens. The sequence continues at coordinate 86,786 of NT_187547.1, forward strand.
CAGCGGTGGGCACCCAGCAGCGTGGGCAGCACTGTGGGCAGCGGTGGGCACCCAGCAGCGTGGGCAGCACTGTGGGCAGCGGTGGGCACCCAGCAGCGTGGGCAGCACTGTGGGCAGCGGTGGGCACCCAGCAGCGTGGGCAGCACTGTGGGCAGCGGTGGGCACCCAGCAGCGTGGGCAGCACTGTGGGCAGCGGTGGGCACCCAGCAGCGTGGGCAGCACTGTGGGCAGCGGTGGGCACCCAGCAGCGTGGGCAGCACTGTGGGCAGCGGTGGGCACCCAGCAGCGTGGGCAGCACTGTGGGCAGCGGTGGGCACCCAGCACCGTGGGCAGCACTGTGGGCAGCGGTGGGTACCCAGCACCGTGAGCAGCACTGTGGGCAGCGGTGGTTACCCAGCACCTTGGGCAGTACTGTGGGCAGCGGTGGGCACCCAGCAGCGTGGGCAGCACTGTGGGCAGCGGTGGGCACCCAGCAGCGTGGGCAGCACTGTGGGCATCGGTGGGCACCCAGCAGCGTGGGCAGCACTGGGCAGCGGTGGGTACCCAGCAGCGTGGGCAGCACTGTGGGCAGCGGTGGGCACCCAGCACCGTGGGCAGCGGTGGGCACCCAGCACCGTGGGCAGCACTGGGCAGCGGTGGGTACCCAGCAGCGTGGGCAGCACTGGGCAGCGGTGGGCACCCAGCAGCGTGGGCAGCACTGTGGGCAGCGGTGGGCACCCAGCACCTTGGGCAGTACTGTGGGCAGCGGTGGGCACCCAGCAGCGTGGGCAGCACTGTGGGCAGCGGTGGGCACCCAGCAGCATGGGCAGCACTGTGGGCAGCGGTGGGCACCCAGCAGCGTGGGCAGCACTGTGGGCAGCGGTGGGCACCCAGCAGCGTGGGCAGCACTGGGCAGCGGTGGGTACCCAGCAGCGTGGGCAGCACTGTGGGCAGCGGTGGGCACCCAGCAGCGTGGGCAGCACTGTGGGCAGCGGTGGGCACCCAGCAGCGTGGGCAGCACTGGGCAGCGGTGGGCACCCAGCACCGTGGGCAGCACTGGGCAGCGGTGGGTACCCAGCAGCGTGGGCAGCACTGGGCAGCGGTGGGCACCCAGCAGCGTGGGCAGCACTGTGGGCAGCGGTGGGCACCCAGCAGCGTGGGCAGCACTGTGGGCAGCGGTGGGCACCCAGCAGCGTGGGCAGCACTGTGGGCAGCGGTGGGCACCCAGCAGCGTGGGCAGCACTGTGGGCAGCGGTGGGCACCCAGCAGCGTGGGCAGCACTGTGGGCAGCGGTGGGCACCCAGCAGCGTGGGCAGCACTGGGCAGCGGTGGGCACCCAGCAGCGTGGGCAGCACTGTGGGCAGCGGTGGGCACCCAGCACCGTGGGCAGCACTGGGCAGCGGTGGGTACCCAGCAGCGTGGGCAGCACTGGGCAGCGGTGGGTACCCAGCACCTTGGGCAGCACCGTGGGCAGCGGTGGGCACCCAGCAGCGTGGGCAGCACCGTGGGCAGCGGTGGGCACCCAGCACCGTGGGCAGCACTGGGCAGCGGTGGGTACCCAGCAGCGTGGGCAGCACTGGGCAGCGGTGGGTACCCAGCACCTTGGGCAGCACCGTGGGCAGCGGTGGGCACCCAGCAGCGTGGGCAGCACTGTGGGCAGCGGTGGGCACCCAGCAGCGTGGGCAGCACCGTGGGCAGCGGTGGGCACCCAGCAGCGTGGGCAGCACTGGGCAGCGGTGGGCACCCAGCATTGCTCAGCAACTTCCTTTTGGTTTCTGTGGCTCCTTTTCTTCAAAGACCCAAGGTGCCCTCCGCCTCCGCAGCTCCAGTGAGCAGGGGTGCCAAGGGCAGATGGTGAGGCAGGGCTTCCTGGGCCTCCCACGTGCTCCACGGGTTTCAAGGGCGGCCCTGACACCTCTGCCAGGGCCTGTGGGCCAGACCTCCCTGGAAGGCATCTCTTGTCCATCAGACTGGATGCTTTCTGCCCTGCTGAGATGGGGAGGGCAGGTCCCCGGACAAGCTCAGCCGTCCAGTTCCAGGTGGGTTGACAGCCACCCACAGAGTCCCCCGCTGACTCCCCTCTGCAGACGTGGCGTGCTGCACCTCCACCAGAGCCATGGCATCGACGACCTGGGGCCTCCGCGGTGGCAGCTCACAGCCTGCCTGGTGCTGGTCATCGTGCTGCTCTACTTCAGCCTCTGGAAGGGCGTGAAGACCTCAGGGAAGGTGAGGCTCGGGGGTCACCAATTGGGCCTGTAGACATGGGGCCACCAAGTGGACATGTGGCCGTGGCTGGACAGGAGGTGCACGTGTGGCCTCAGTTGGGTTTTGTGCTACCAATGTGGCCATGGCCAGGTTGGGGTGGACACATGGCCATGGTTGAGTTTGGGAGACTCATATGGCCATAATCAGGTTGGGAGTGTACACGTGGCCATGATTGAGGGTACACCTGTGGCTGTGCCGGGTTGGCTTGGGTAGACGCGCGGCCATGGGTGGGTGGGGGGACACGTGGCCGTGGCTGGGCTGGGCGGACACACGGCACAGTTGGGTTTTGGGTCCACGTGTGGCTGTGTTTGGGGAAGGGCCTCAGGAGGGAAGCACTCACAGCAGTGTTTCTGGCAGGAAGGCACACACAAGATGATTTTTTTGTTGATAAAAATACTTTGGGAGGCTGAGACGGGCAGATCACCTGAGGTCAGGGGTTCAAGAACAGCCTGGCCAACATGATGAAACCCCATCTCTACTAAAAATACGAAATTAGCCAGGCACGGTGGCACGTGCCTATAATCCCAGCTACGTGGGAGGCTGAGGCAGGAGAATTGCTTGAACCCAGGAGGCGGAGGTTGCAGTGAGCCAAGATCATGCCACTGCACTCCAGCCTGGGCAAAAAGAGCAAAACTCCATCTCAAAAAAAAAAAAAAAACTTTGGTTGTTATATGGGCCAAAACCAGTTTTGACCAAGATACGACTCCTCCCTTGGAAAAGTGCGTGTAGTATGGCACCAGCCACGGGAGCCTCCCGCAGGGACACAGCCCAGAGCAGCCCTTCATCGTGCCACAGTGCCGTTCACCAGTGTGAATCCACTCACGTCCCACGCATCAGAAAACCCCCATCAGCCACTCCCAGCTACTCTGGCGGACCGAATGCAGAAAAGGAATGTGCTTTCCCTGCCAAGTTGTTCTTCCCTTTCCATCCCTGGGGAGGGTGTGCAGGACAGAAAGTGTCTGACCTTCTCACTCCAAGGAGCATTTGCTGAGCTGGCGTCCCAGGAAATGTTTGGGAATTGGGCCTCCCAATCAGAGGACAAGCCGTCAGGGCAACCCGGTGCCCTTGTGCCAGTGTCTGCTCCCACCAAGGGCCCTGCCTGTGCAGCCTGGTGACACTGTCCTCTCCTGCAGGTGGTATGGATCACAGCCACCATGCCATACGTGGTCCTCACTGCCCTGCTCCTGCGTGGGGTCACCCTCCCTGGAGCCATAGACGGCATCAGAGCATACCTGAGCGTTGACTTCTACCGGCTCTGCGAGGCGTCTGTGAGTACAGTCTGCTCACTGCTTCACAGTCCACAGGGGCTCTGGCATTCCCAGGTTTCCATATGCATTGCCTGCCAGGGCTGAGAGGTGTCAGAGTTGCAGACACCAGGGTTCTTTCCTCGGGAAGCCAAATCCCAAGTACCTGTGATACAGCACGAGTCATCTAAATCAAATTACATCAGAAACTCCATCTAGACTCAGGCTGCAGCTTTGGTCAGCAAAAGAAGACATAATTCAGGGTTAAAATATTTGGAGAAAGCCTCCCGGAGAGAGGAGACTCAGCTGGGCCATGGGGGATGGGACCCTTGTCCAGAAAGGGAGGAGAAAGGGCTGCACCCTTCCTGGCAAACAGGCCCAGAAACAGAAGCAGCTGTTGGCGGAAGGCTGGCATGACAAAAATGGCAGCTCCCTTGGGGCATCGTTGGAAATCAGGTGGACTAAGTGGGGGAGGTGGCAGGCCCCAAAGCCGCCCAGGGGCATCCATGTTGCTGTGGGAGGACAATGCAGCAAGAGGGGAAGGGCCATCTCAGCTGGGGTATGAGGCAGGAGGCCGTTGAGAGGTGCTGCCCTGTGTGGGTGGGCCGGTGGAGCCAGGTCTGGGGGTCATGAGGCAAGTGTAAACCCAAGGCAGAAGTGGGAAGGAAGGGGAGAAGGGATGGGCGGGCATGGCTGCAAGCCTCCCAGGAAGCCCCAGGGAGGCAGCAGCTGACAGGTGCAGTGAGAGAGGGCACCTGGACATGGCACCTATGAGGCTGCAAAGCAGTTGGGTGGGGGTGGGGGTGGAAGTGTGCCTGCAGCACTGAAGGGGAAGCCCTGTGGAGACAGGAGCCATGGGTGCAGCAGGCGTGTGGCCCACGGGAGCCAAGGAAGAGAGAGGAGGACAACCAGGGCAGCAAAATCAGCTGTGGCCGGGGGCCCACAAGTGCAGAGCTGGAGCCAGACAAACCATGAAGTCAGCAGGGCGTCTGGACCCCAGAAAGGCCAAAATGAAGCCAAGGGGTGTGTTTGCAGGACCATGGCATGTTACAGAATCAAAGAAAAATACCACAAGGACAACGTAGAGCCTAGTGCTCCAGCTAGGAAGAATAGGCAGCCCCAGGAGGAGGCAAAACAAACACCAGTGCATGTGAAAAGATGCTCACTGGAGAACAAATTACAAAGATGAGATGTCAGAAATTAGGTGGAGACAGTGAATAGATTGGATGGATGGATGGATGGATGGATGGATGGATGGATGGATGGATGGATGGATGAATGCTAGGTAAGTAGGTGGATAGGATGGATGGATGATAGGTGGGTAGATAGAATGGATAGATAGGATGGGTGGATGGAAGGCTGGCTGGCTGGATGTATGGATAATGGATGGGTGGATGGAGGAATGGATGATAGGTAGGTAGCTGGATAGTATGGATGGATGGATGATGGATGGATGGATGGATGGATGAATGGATGATGCATGGGTGAATGGGTGGATGAATGATAGGTAGCTAGATAGGATGGACAGATGGATAATGGATGGATGATGGATGGGATGGATGGGTGGATGGATGATGGGTGGATTGCTGGATGATGGATGGCTGGGTGGATGGATGAATGATAGGTAGGTAGCTGGATAGCATGGATGGATGGATGGATGGATGATGAATGGATGATGGATGGGTGAATGGGTGGATGAATGATAGGTAGGTAGCTAGATAGGATGGATGGATGGATGGATAATGGATGGATGACGGGTGGGTGGATGGATGATGGGTGGATTGCTGGATGATGGATGTTTGGGTGGATGGATGAATGATAGGTAGGTAGCTGGACAGCATGGATGGATGGATGGATGATGGATGGGTGGGTGGATGGATGGATGGATGGATGATGGGTGGATTGGTGGATGATGGACAGATGGGTGGATGGATGAATGATAGGTAGCTGGATAGCATGGATGGATGGATCGATGATGGATGGGTGGATGGATGGATGATGGATGGGTGGATGGATGGATGATAGGTAGGTAGATAGGATGGATATACAATAGGATGGATGGAGATAGATACATACACACACATGTACTTCATATATTCATAGATGATAGACAGTTGATAGATTATAGAGATGACAGATAGATGATAGATTGGTGATGGATTGATAGATGACAGTGATAGATGATAGATAGATAGATGATTGATTGATAGATAATAGATGATGGATTGATGTATAGTGAAGAGAAATCAGGAAAGAAATGGAAGGAAAGGACAATTGCAGGTCCTGGAGTGAAAGTGCATGAGGTGAGGCCCAGGGAGGCAGCCATGGGCACTGGCTCTGGGGTGGCACTGGGCAGAGGCCTGAGCTGCACACACAGATCAGGGTGAGGAGGAGGCAGGCGCTCCCCTGTGACACCTGATCCAGCCTGCAGCTACCTGGCCAGGCAGGTGGCTGATGACCAGCATGGGAGCCACATCAGGGTATGAGCCTCTCCACCCACTGCCCACCCAGCCACTCTCGGCTTGGCTCCTCCCCTCATGCTGAAACACTGGCCACCTGCAGAGTCCTGACTGCGGGGCCTGGCCATCTGCCTCCAAACACACTGTCCCAGGAACTGGGGTTGCCTTGAGGCTCTGACATGCTGCCCAAAGGACAGAGGGCCCCGCCCCCTCTGCAGCACCCAGTTCCCTTGCTCAGTCAAGCTCAGGCAAGCTTGACCTGGGACCTGGGATGCCCTGAGACCCACCTGGCCTCCCCAGCAGGAGCATCTGGTGTCTCTGCCTCAGCATCCTGGCCCACAGGCCTGTACCATGGGCTCCAGGGACTTGCAGGAACAGCCCTAACTGACCAGTCCCTCAAATGCCTCCAAGGGGGGGTTGGCTGCTCCTTCTCCCCCATCCAAGGCCCAGGGAAGGGCAAGGTGGGCATCTGAGTCACTGAATGGTCTCCGCAGTGCCCTCACCTTAGCAGGTTGTGGCTGACTTTTTAAAATACCACAATGGTCCAATCGTGGACCCACCCACCTTTCCTTTCACGTCCAGAGTTGTGGGTGCCATCCACCGAGTTGGGCAGGCACAGCACCAGTGTCTAAGCTGCAGGTGGGCTCCTGGCCATGCCCAGGTGCCACTGTGCACCTGTACTGCTCATGTTTTGGGAAGGATACAAAGCAGGCATTGCTGGTGTGCGTCCAATCAGGACACCATCATCATGTAGCATGTGGATGGGTCCATGCCTTTCTGAGGGTTATCAGGGTGCTGCCATCATGCAGCATGTGGATGATCCATGCTGTTCTGAGGGTTGTCAGGGCGCCACCATCATGTAGCCTCAGGATGAGTTTATGTTGTTCTGAGGGTTATCAGGGCGCCGCCATCATGCAGCTTGTGGATGATCCATGATGTTCTGAGGGTTATCAGGAAGCCGCCATCATGTAGCCTGTGGTTGAGTCTGTGCTGTTCTGAGGGTTTCAGGGCACTGCCATCATGCAGCAGGGCGCACATGGGATGGGGGGACACACTCAGGGGGTTGTGAAGCTGGACCCTGATCAAGGGAGGATGGAGACCCCGCTAGGGCTGGTGTGAGTGTGGATAAGTCCATGCTGTTCTGAGGGTTATCAGGGCGCCGCGGTCATGTTGTGTGTGGATGAGTTCATGACTTTCTGAGGGTTATCAGGGTGCCACCATTATGCAGCATGTGGATGAATCTGTGCTGTTCCGAGGGTTGTTAGGACGCTGCGGTCATGTCATGTGTGGATGAGGCCGTGCTGTTCCGAGGGCTATTAGGACGCTGCGGTCATGTTGTGTGTGGATGAGTCCGTGCTCTTCTGAGGGCTATTAGGACGCTGCGGTCATGTTGTGTGTGGATGAGTCCGTGCTGTTCCGAGGGCTATTAGGACGCTGCGGTCATGCCGTGTGTGGATGAGTCCGTGCTGTTCTGAGGGCTATTAGGACGCTGAGGTCATGCTGTGTGTGGGTGAGTCCGTGCTGTTCTAAGGGTTATTAGGACACTGTGGTCATGTTTTGTGTAGATGAGGCCGTGCTGTTCCGAGGGTTATTAGGATGCTGTGGTCATGCCGTGTGTGGATGAGTCCATGCTGTTCTGAGGGCTATGGAGCAGGGCACCTCTGGTTCTGTGGAATCGCTGCCTTGATACTCCATGGGGAATCCCAGATCAATGAACACAGACAGCCCCCTGCTTCTCAGGCTCTTCCAGGCCGCTGGCCCGGGAGGGTTCACTTCCTGAGGCTGCATCTTCCACCAGTCGTCTGCTGCCATTTACTTCTTGAGGATGGTGTTGAGTTTAGAGGCCTCAGTGTGGGGCTGGGACAGGAAGGGTGCTCAGGTCCTTTGCCTGTGGCCTGCGTTCTCCTGGGACAGCCTCTCACCGCCCTCTGGCTCTGCAGGTTTGGATTGACGCGGCCACCCAGGTGTGCTTCTCCCTGGGCGTGGGGTTCGGGGTGCTGATCGCCTTCTCCAGCTACAACAAGTTCACCAACAACTGCTACAGGTGAGCCCCTAGCAGGGCCAGGCAGGGGCCTCATCAATACTAGGGAGAGGTCGCTGACTTCCAGAAATAGTGTGTCCCTGGATGAGAACAGGGCGGATCCACTGAACCCGCAAACCTGTGAGCTGCGTGGCCTTTCAGACAGAAGCGACAGCGAGGCAGCTCCCAACACGATTTTGATTTCAACTTTAAAGAAGGCACTGAAGCCAGTGGGTGTGTCGCCTCCTGGGAGGGACCTGCCTAGGTTTGACCTGCGGCCAGATTCCCCACTGAGGGCCCCAAGTGGCAAGGCCAGCCCCTCCCTCCACAAGGACACACCCTCTTCCCTCACACCAGCCCCGGGGGGTCTCTGTCCTCCCTCGCTCAGGGTCCAGCTTCACAACCCCCTGAGTGTGTCCCCCCATCCCATATGCACCCCGTGTTACTTACTGGCAGGCACCTGAAGCCCCGTGCCGGACCCCAAATCCTTCTAAAAACAGAAACAGAATTTTATCCGGGATCTGCTTGCTTTGACCTTTATGGACTTGTGCTTACTTTCTTTCACATCATGAGGCTAGAAACACGGTAAAAATACAAGGACAGTGTGAGCAGCAGAATGGCCAGGCAGACCACAAGCAGGCTTCACTGAGAGTGGGCGCTGGAAGGCAGGTCCTGAGGCAGCGCCTGCCCGCAGCCCACCTGCGTCCACCTGGGTCCAGGTGCTCTGCAGATGAAGTGTGTGGTCCTTCCACCCCAGTGACAGGCCACACAGGAACCCAGGAGGAGGACGCTGGTGCCCTGACCGACCCCAGGACCCTCCCTCTTCGTCCTTCGCTTGCCTCCAGCTCTCTGGTTTCTCAGCCCTCAGAGTGGGGCCCCCAGGCCCGCAGCACCAGCGCCCTTGGGAGTTCATGGGAAACACAGCCCCCGAGACCCCATGAGACCCGCCCAGTCAGGATCTGCATCTTAGCGAGGTCCCCGGGAGGTGTGTGCTCCTAGAGCTTCTGGAAGATCTGCCCTGGGTGAGGTGTCCACAGCAAGACTCGCGGGGCACAGGGGTGGCCGTCTGTTCTGCCCACCCTGAGCCTTGATGGCTGAGCCTTGAGCAGCTCAGCTAGGGGACCAAGGTGGCCCAAGGACAGCTCTGCCAGGCTGCTAAGGAGCTGGCCGTGCTCACTGGGAAAAGTAGCCCCTCCGAAGACCTCCCGCCCCCTTCCCCAGACACAGTAAATTAAGAATAATGACTGGAAAATTGCAGCTGCTGCAGCTCAGCTGGTTCCTGAGACGGCGTGTCTTGTTCTTACAGGGACGCGATTGTCACCACCTCCATCAACTCCCTGACGAGCTTCTCCTCCGGCTTCGTCGTCTTCTCCTTCCTGGGGTACATGGCACAGAAGCACAGTGTGCCCATCGGGGACGTGGCCAAGGACGGTGAGCCCCTCCTGCTGCACCTGGGCCTGCTCCGTGTAGCACCAGCGCCGAGCTCTCAGCAAAGCCTTTTTCCTTGTGAAAGAGGAAGGAGACGCATGGGCCCTGAGCGACTTCAGTGAGAGTTGCTGCCTCACTCTTGAAGGATGGTGGTACACATCCCAGTACAGACCTGCCCCCACCCAGCGCCTTCCCCGCCCTGCCCCTCCAGGCCCCCCACCCAGCGCCTTCCCCGCCCTGCCCCTCCCGGCCCCCCACCCAGTGCCTTCCCCGCCCTGCCCCTCCCGGCCCCCCACCCAGTGCCTTCCCTTCCCTGCCCCTCCCGGCCCCCCACCCAGTGCCTTCCCTTCCCTGCCCCTCCCGGCCCCCCACCCAGTGCCTTCCCCGCCCTGCCCCTCCCGGCCCCCCACCCAGTGCCTTCCCCGCCCTGCCCCTCCCGGCCCCCCACCCAACGCCTTCCCTTCCCTGCCCCTCCAGGCCCCCCACCCAGCGCCTTCCCCGCCCTGCCCCTCCCGGCCCCCCACCCAGTGCCTTCCCCGCCCTGCCCCTCCCGGCCCCCCACCCAGTGCCTTCCCTTCCCTGCCCCTCCCGGCCCCCCACCCAGTGCCTTCCCTTCCCTGCCCCTCCCGGCCCCCCACCCAGTGCCTTCCCCGCCCTGCCCCTCCCGGCCCCCCACCCAGTGCCTTCCCCGCCCTGCCCCTCCCGGCCCCCCACCCAGTGCCTTCCCTTCCCTGCCCCTCCCGGCCCCCCACCCAGCGCCTTCCCCGCCCTGCCCCTCCCGGCCCCCCACCCAGTGCCTTCCCCGCCCTGCCCCTCCCGGCCCCCCACCCAGTGCCTTCCCCGCCCTGCCCCTCCCGGCCCCCCACCCAGTGCCTTCCCCGCCCTGCCCCTCCCGGCCCCCCACCCAGTGCCTTCCCCGCCCTGCCCCTCCCGGCCCCCCACCCAGTGCCTTCCCTGCCCTGCCCCTCCCGGCCCCCCACCCAGTGCCTTCCCCGCCCTGCCCCTCCCGGCCCCCCACCCAGTGCCTTCCCCGCCCTGCCCCTCCCGGCCCCCCACCCAGTGCCTTCCCTGCCCTGCCCCTCCCGGCCCCCCACCCAGTGCCTTCCCTGCCCTGCCCCTCCCGGCCCCCCACCCAGTGCCTTCCGTGCCCTGCCCCTCCCGGGCCCCCCACCAGTGCCTTCCCTGCCCTGCCCCTCCGGCCCCCACCCAGTGCTTCCCTGCCTGCCCTCCGGCCCCCACCAGTGCCTTCCTGCCCTGCCCTCCGGCCCCCCACCCAGTGCTTTCCTGGCCTGCCCTCCCGGCCCCCCACCCAGTGCCTTCCCTGCCCTGCCCCTCCCGGCCCCCCACCCAGTGCCTTCCCCGCCCTGCCCCTCCCGGCCCCCCACCCAGTGCCTTCCCCGCCCTGCCCCTCCCGGCCCCCCACCCAGTGCCTTCCCCGCCCTGCCCCTCCAGGCCCCCCACCCAGTGCCATCCCCGCCCTGCCCCACCCAGTGCCTTCCCCGCCCTGCCCCTCCAGGCCCCCCACCAGGGGCCCCCGCCCTGCCCCTCCCGGCCCCCCACCCAGTGCCTTCAACGGCCTGCCCCTCCCGGCCCCCCACCCAGTGCCTTCCCTGCCCGCCCCTCCCGGCCCCCCACCCAGTGCCTTCCCCGCCCTGCCCCTCCCGGACCCCCACCCAGTGCCTTCCCTTCCCTGCCCCTCCCGGCCCCCCACCCAGTGCCTTCCCTTCCCTGCCCCTCCCGGCCCCCCACCCAGTGCCTTCCCCGCCCTGCCCCTCCCGGCCCCCCACCCAGTGCCTTCCCCGCCCTGCCCCTCCCGGCCCCCCACCCAGTGCCTTCCCTTCCCTGCCCCTCCCGGCCCCCCACCCAGCGCCTTCACTGCCCTGCCCCTCCCGGCCCCCCACTCAGTGCCTTCCCAGCACTGCCCCTCCCGGCCCCCCATACAGTGCCTTCCCCGCCCTGCCCTGCCCCTCCAGGCCCCCCACCCAGTGCCTTACGACCAGCCCCTCCCGGCCCCCCACCCAGTGCCTTCCCTGCCCGGCCCCGGCAGGCCCCCCACCCAGCGCCTTCCCCGCCCTGCCCCTCCCGGCCCCCCACCCAGTGCCTTCCCCGCCCTGAGACAAAAGCCCCCACCCAGTGCCTTCCCCGCCCTGCCCCTCCCGTACACCCACCCAGTGCCTTCCCCGCCCTGCCCCTCCAGGCCCCCCACCCAGTGCCTTCCCCGCCCTGAAAAACGAACACCCACCCAGTGCCTTCCCCGCCCTGCCCCTCCCGGCACCCCACCCAGTGCCTTCCCCGCCCTGCCCCTCCCGGCCCCCCACCCAGTGCCTTCCCTGCCCTGCCCCTCCCGGCCCCCCACCCAGTGCCTTCCCCGCCCTGCCCCTCCAGGCCCCCCACCCAGTGCCTTCCCCGCCCTGCCCCTCCAGGCCCCCCACCCAGTGCCTTCCCTGCCCTGCCCCACCCGAAACCCCCACCCAGTGCCTTCCCCGCCCTGCCCCTCCCCGCCCCCCACCCAGTGCCTTCCCTGCCCTGCCCCTCCCGGCCCCCCACCCAGTGCCTTCCCCGCCCTGCCCCTCCCGGACAAACCAGTGCCTTCCCCGCCCTGCCCCTCCCGGCCCCCCCCCCAATGCCTTCCCTGCCCTGCCCCTCCTGGCCCCCCACCCAGTGCTCCCGCCTGCCCTCGCCCCCAACCAGTGCTCCCGCTGCCCTCGCCCCCACCCAGTGCTCCCGCCTGCCCTCAGCCCCCCACCAGTGCCTTCCCGCCTGCCCTCCTGGCCCCCCACCAGTGCCTTCCCCGCCTGCCCCTCCCGGCCCCCCACCCAGTGCCTTTCCCCGCCCTGCCCCTCCAGGCCCCCCACCCAGTGCCTTCCCCGCCCTGCCCCTCCAGGCCCCCCACCCAGTGCCTTCCCCGCCCTGCCCCTCCAGGCCCCCCACCCAGTGCCTTCCCCGCCCTGCCCCTCCCGGCCCCCCACCCAGTGCCTTCCCCGCCCTGCCCCTCCAGGCCCCCCACCCAGTGCCTTCCCTGCCCTGCCCCTCCCGGCCCCCCACCCAGTGCCTTCCCCGCCCTGCCCCTCCCGGCCCCCCACCCAGTGCCTTTCCCTGCCCTGCCCCTCCCGGCCCCCCACCCAGTGCCTTCCCCGCCCTGCCCCTCCAGGCCCCCCACCCAGTGCCTTCCCCGCCCTGCCCCTCCCGGCCCCCCACCCAGTGCCTTCCCCGCCCTGCCCCTCCCGGCCCCCCACCCAGTGCCTTCCCTGCCCTGCCCCTCCCGGCCCCCCACCCAGTGCCTTCCCCGCCCTGCCCCTCCCGGCCCCCCACCCAGTGCCTTCCCCGCCCTGCCCCTCCCGGCCCCCCACCCAGTGCCTTCTCTGCCCTGCCCCTCCCGGCCCCCCCACCCAGTGCCTTTCCTGCCCTGCCCCTCCCGGCCCCCCCACCCAGTGCCTTTCCTGCCTTGTGCCTCTCGGGGCCTCCACCCTGGGCTGGGGAACCTCAAGCCCAAATGCAGCTGAGCAGCATAGTTGGTGCCTCAGTCCCTCGACTGCTCCCTGCAGATGCCACATGAGGCTGCCCCACCAGGGTCTGGCGTAGATGCTGTCACTGAGGGCCCTCTAGATGTTTGCTTGCCACGCGGTGTGGGAACATGCAGCTCAGGGAAGGGGAGGAATGAGCTGTTCCAGCAACACCTGGAGGCAGGCTGGGATGCCGCAAACATCAGCTTGGCCACAGAGCAGCCGGGAGATCCCTGGGGCCTCCAGCACAGGGTGTCCCTGCCCGCTCCCCAGGCCGACGCATGACGCTGAGTGTCCCTGCACGCCTGGAGTTGTCTCCGAGAGGGTGGGGAGGGGTCCAGGTCTCGGGCAGGCACAGGTGAGTGGTGGGGGGAGGCCTTGGCCACAGCAAGAAGTGTGCCAGGCAGGATGGAGCCGGCAGGACGGGCACAGATGCAGGGGCTGAGAGTGGGCCCAGGCACTTGGGGCCACGTGCCTGGCTCCGGTGCTTGCAGTGGAAAGCTGTGGCGTTGGCAGCCCTAACTTGGGCCAACCGAGAGCTCCAGGGAGTCCCAAGGCTTCTCGGTCTCTGTCAGCCAGCAGAGCCCCCGCCTGCCTCCCGGCCTGCTCTGCCACATGGATGTGGAGGAGGCCCTTTCGCTCCAGACACGGGCCTGGGTTGGGTGGGCTCCCATGCTGCGTCCCCATCCTTGCTTCCTCTGGACTGTCTTCTCCGGGGGTGGGGTGGGGGCACTACATTTGTGAGGAATGATTGTGCTCAGAAAAGCCCCTGTCCCGTGTGGGTGTTGTTGCTGACTGATCTCTGCCTGGGTGTTGAGGCTCAGTGAAGGCGGGGAGCGACAAGCACCAAGCGGGGGCAGCCTTGACCGCACCTGAGTCTCACAGAGTGGGGCACTAGGACCCTCGCACCGCAGGTAGGAACACGCTCAGAGACCTGAAAGGGCCCACTCCATGCTTGCAACAGAAAGCCAGGGTCGGGGCTGGAGCCACAGCTCAGAGGTGGGCCTCCTAAGCCCATGTTCTTTCCACTAGGAAAAAAAATTCAGTCAAAGCGGGAGAAAGGGAACATCTGCAAATAAATGCAGAGCAGTGAAATTTACTCGGTGCCGCATTTATGCCTTTTCTTCATTCTTTTTGCCCTTTATTATGATAACGAGCATAGTTTGCAAAAACCTCTATTAACCCCTGAAAATAAAGTTGAATGTTCTTCTGTGCATTTCATGACAAGCAAAGTAAATGTCATTTACAGCCTTAATTCTCAAGAAAATAGGGTGAAATGTTAACTTAGGTACAGAAACGAAGGCACGGGTGTTGACATTACATTCCCTGAGCTGATGAATATCTTCCCAGGCTCCTGGCTGGTACCATCTAAGCCCCGGAACATCTCAGGCGAGCCTGCCTCCCCCACCCCACGCGGAGGCTGTCCCCATCCACCAGGGTATCTGGGAGCTGCGAGAGCCCAGGTCTGACCCCGCTGCTTGGCTGATAGTGAGGCCCCTGAAAGACCTTTAGGAACGGCCCCTGGCTCTGGCCTTTGATTATTTAAAAGGCCAGGCGCAGGCCTATTCCTGCAGGCTAGGGCCAGACACGTGCCTGCTGAGGACAGGGGACTCTGTTGCAGGCAGATTGGGCTTGGGAGATGGTGCCAGCCAGTGGAGGATGCAAGGCTTCTGAAATGGTCAAAGGTCAATTGCCTATGGGACTGGTTTTTACTTTGGGGTCATCAGAGACCAAACTGCGTTGACTTTTGGTCGCCTGCCTGCCACACTCTCGTCCCCTCCACCTCCATCCGAGTCTGCCTGCTGGTAGCAGGAAGCACGTGTCGTTTCCCAAGAGAGCTGTGGGGGAACACCTCCTCCGCCTTTGCCATGCCGCCCTCAGCCTGGCGTGCCCCTCGCTTGCAGGGATAGCAAGGTAGCAGGTTTGTCTCTTATCTCCGAAGCCACCATCTGGGCCCCTGTATCCATCAGGATGTGCTGCTCCTCTGAGCCCTCAGGGCCCCAGCTGACAGGAGCCTGTCTCAATATGGCCTGCGGGACCCCGTGGCAGGGGAGGTGGTGAAGGAGCCACACACTCCTCTACCAAGCTTCACTCGCAGGGACCCGCTCACTGTGGGTTCACAGCACATTGGCCAAGTGCAGCCACGTCTAACCTCACGGGAGGGTGGGAGGACCTCAGCTTCCTCATGTGCCTGGAAGGCGGAGGTCA
Organism: Homo sapiens; assembly: GCF_000001405.40. Lineage (NCBI taxonomy): Eukaryota > Metazoa > Chordata > Mammalia > Primates > Hominidae > Homo > Homo sapiens. The sequence continues at coordinate 101,892 of NT_187547.1, forward strand.
GGAATGTATCCCTAAATGTTTTGCTAATTTTAGAAATTAGGCTACTAAATAGTGTGGACGTGTGTGATTTGTGTGTGTTTGTGTGTGTATGTTTGTGCATGCACGTGCATGTTTCTGTTTGTGTGCGTGCATGTGGATGTGTTCTTGCATGTATGAGTTTGAATGCACAAATGAGTGTTCGTGCATGTGCGCGCATGTGTCTGTGTGTGTATATTGCATGGTATGTGTGTCTGAGTGTGTATGTTGCATGGTATGTGTGTCTGAGTGTGTATGTTGCATGGTATGTGTGTCTGAGTGTGTATGTTGCATGGTATGTGTGTCTGAGTGTGTATGTTGCATGGTATGTGTGTCTGAGTGTGTATGTTGCATGGTATGTGCAGGAAAAACTAACTCGAAGGACATTAGCAGATGTCCCTGGGATGAAGGGCAGGACCAGCCTGGAAGCCCCTCCTGCTCCTCCTTGTTTCTGCCCCTTCCTTCCCCAAGCACCCCCATAGCCCAAAAGGACCCAGGTAATTTGGAGGAGCCCCATTGCTGGGTGGTGGGCATGAACCAAAGCCCTCTGATCAGTTCTGGGTTTCCGCTTTCCTGAGTCCCAGGCCTGGTCTGCTGGACATATAGAAGGGGGCTTTTCAGCAGAGCCGCACCAGCCCTAGTCTCTACAGGCCTGTGGCAGGCCATGCTTCTCGGGGCGGGGTGGGGCAGGATGGGCGGGAGAGCACAGCGTGGGCTCTGTGGCAAGCAGGGCGGGTTCTGTTTCAGGGCCAGGGCTGATCTTCATCATCTACCCGGAAGCCATCGCCACGCTCCCTCTGTCCTCAGCCTGGGCCGTGGTCTTCTTCATCATGCTGCTCACCCTGGGTATCGACAGCGCCGTGAGTAACCCGCACCGCCCGGCCCTGTCCTCGGCAGTTGGGTTCCTTCCACCCGAGGGGGCCCTGCCCTCCCAGGGCTAGGCAAGATCCCTGGGCTCACGTACGGCCCCCAGACCTCCTGTCCTTGACTTGGGCGAGCCCCGTGATTATTTGGGAGACCTTTCTCGGGGCTGGAGTGAGTGGTGACTGGAGTTTACCTTTCCCTTTATCCCCCTACTCTGGGGTACCTGTGTGCCCTGCCCTGAGCCACCTACAGATCCTGGAAATGTGCACACACATGCACACACACACATACACGCACACACATACACACATACACGAACACACACATTCACACCACCATGCACATGCATGCACACACATACACACATGCACACACGCACACATACATGAACACACACGAACACACACATGCACACACGCATGCACACACACATACACACAGACATGCATGCACGTGTAGCAGGGCCCCAGCCACCAAAGACTTGGCTCCGGACACCAGAGTGGTGGGGCCTTGGAGGGCACACAGCAGGTCCTTCATATCTCGTGGCTTTCCCTGGAAGCCTCAGCTACCCCATGAGGAATGAGGAGGGCAACAGAAGTTCCTGGCACCTACCAATCCCAGGCCTGGCCCTGAATGCTTTGTGTGTGGCCCCTGCACCTCCAGCTGCTGGGGGTGGCGGGTCCAGCCCTTGATCGGCCCTGGGCCTGCTGGACTTTCTCAGGCTCCTTCTTCCCTGTCAGCTGCTTGGGACCAAAGAACCCAGAATCCCTTGCCTTATAAACGCTGGTCATGCACCCGGCCCCCCACTCATATCCTATCCACCTCGTCCACGGCTCCTGGGTTGACCACAGGCCTCATGTTCCTGACATGAGAGCATGAAGAGGGGTCTGGACCGAGCAAGGTGAAGAAGGTCACTAAGCAGGAGTCAGGTGCCTGGACGGTGTCCCACAGGAGGATGCCAGGAGTCAGGAGGCTCCGTCGGGAAGGCGTAGCCAATGACAAGGCCAGGTGCAGCTGAAAGCTTTGTGTGGGGGACGCATCTTGCTCAGGAAAATCTGGCCAAGCTGAGCCCGTGCAGCAGCAGTGGACAGGGTGGCATTGTTTTAGCCATGCCGCATCTTACCCACCCAGAGACATCGAAGAGGCTGCAAACCCCCTACCGTGGATACAGTGGTCCCTCTGGGTCCTCTCTCCTGCGGTCGTGCCGCCATAGAAGCCCTCGCCAACAGCTGTCCTCACTACCAGGCATCCTGCACCCTGGACGGCCATGTGGCCCCTGTTCCGTGTCCATCCCCGGGTGTGCGTCCACTGGGTGACAAGTAGGTCTTGGCCCAGGCTGCGGTCAGGAGCGCCGCCAGCCTGCAGCCCGACCCTGTGCTCTGTGTGCAGATGGGTGGTATGGAGTCAGTGATCACCGGGCTCATCGATGAGTTCCAGCTGCTGCACAGACACCGTGAGCTCTTCACGCTCTTCATCGTCCTGGCGACCTTCCTCCTGTCCCTGTTCTGCGTCACCAACGTACGTACCATCGCCGGCTTCGCCTTCTCCTGGTCATGTCTCCTTAGCACGTGGCACGGGGCGCCCTGGCTGGGACTGTCAGGCCAGACAGAACCGCAGCACTTCCAGGGAGCTGCGAACCCACCCACCCCAGAAAATGACTCGTAGCAGTGCACAGGGTAACTGCACATCCAGAGCTTGGTCCCAGAGTCACTTCAGCACCTGGACAGCTCCCCCAGAAGCACCCCAGGCTGAAGCTGCCTCCTTCTAGGGTTTGGGGACTGGGGGACGCTGGGGGTGTGGTGGCAGAGCCTATCTATGTGGGAGGGGGAGCCCAGGCCACTCCCTCTCCAAGGGAGGCACTGCCAAGTTCCGCATTCGGTTGCTTCCATTTCTAATTGCACATGAAGCCCTAGGAAGGGAAAGGAGAGGTCATTTTTATTTTTATTTTTTGTAATACACGTGGCCCTAAGAAGCTGCATGTGGGTTGAATTTTAGGGACTCAAACCAGAGTTTTGCAGTGAGTGAAACAATTTGTGTGCACAGTGAATCCCCAGGCTGGGTTTACCTCTGGGGAAAGCCCTTCTGTAGGTCCACAGGCTCCCCTCTCTTCCAGGGTGGCATCTACGTCTTCACGCTCCTGGACCATTTTGCAGCCGGCACGTCCATCCTCTTTGGAGTGCTCATCGAAGCCATCGGAGTGGCCTGGTTCTATGGTGAGTCCGGGGGGAGGCAGCCAAGCCGGCACCCTCTTGTTTGGTGGCTGTGCCACTCCCCTTCTGAAAAAGGCTCCGTGAGGAAACACCTTTCAGCTGCAGGAAGCCTGGGTTGTGGTCATCACAGCTCCGCAGAGGGGAGAGGCTTGGCACTGGTCCCTTTGATGGGATCAGTGAGGTGCTTAGCTTGGATGGCAGCCAGAAGAGGCACACTGTGGTCAGAGGTGTTCACAGCGGCTGGGCGTCTTCTGCCTCCTCCACGCTAGAGGCACCGGTGAGCCCATCCCACCCAGGGGAACACAATCAGATCCATGCTGGGGTTTCAGCAGGGATGTGACATGGTGCCTTTCAAAGGTGCCGTCATCGCCTTCCCTGCTGACCAGAGCTCCAGAGCAGTCGGGACCTGATGATCAGCGGGCGGCGCTCGAACGGGGTGCAGCTCCTGGCCCATTGTGCTGCCCCAGCTGTGTCCTGGGACTTCCACCAGTGGTTTAAACAGCAACAGAAAACCCAGCCTGGAGCCAGGGCTGCCCTTTCCCCACATGCTGACCTGGCCAAGTCACCTCGACTCCCCTTAGTTCTCTCTTCTGTAAAATGGGCAGGAGTGCCAGCTCCGCTTACCTGGCCAGCTCACTTCCAGGGAAGTGGCGAGGCCGAGCCAGGGCATCTCGCCATGAATGTGTGGTCCGGGCGCGGTGACTCACGCCTGTAATCCCAGCACTTTGGGAGGCCGAGGTGGGCAGATCACGAGATCAAGAGATCAAGACCATCCTGGCCAACATGGTAAAACCCCATCTTTACTAAAAAAAAAAAAAAAAAAAATTAGCCGGGTGTGGTGGCACAAGGCTATAATCCCAGCTAGTCAGGAGGCTGTAGATTTTCTGAAGACACTGATGGTATACTTACGATGGAATATGATTCAGCTTGAACCCGGAAGGCGGAGGTTGCAGTCACCCGAGATTGCACCACTGCACTCCAGCCTGGGCAACAGAGTGAGACTCCGTCTCAAAAAAGAAAAAAAAAAATGTGTGGATCCGGCTGAAAGCTGAATGTCTGTGGTGCTGCGTGAGCCCCGGTTTTGGAGGACGCCCAGCTCACCTGCAAACAAGGGGGTCATTTTCTCTGCCTCAGAGCCATGGAATTTATAGCCAGATAAACGCCCTGACTTTGAGACAAATAGGACAAATAGCTCCTATTCTGAGAACATTGTTTTCAGTGTTGCTCTACAGAAAACGGAAATATCAACCTCGTACTTTCACGGGTGTCTGGAATCAATACTTTGTCTATCACTTTCATTGTCATCTTCCCTGAACAAAACATAGACCTTCACAGAGGAAGGGAGAAAGTGCCTTGAATTGCCATGGCCTCCGGAACCACGGGAGATGGGGAGAAGCCGGCCCTGGCGACCTGCACCTCAGAAGACCGAGATCTGTGTTATTTTTCCAAAGAGAAATCCACGCCCCTCTCATCTAAATGAAACAAAACCTGTGCTCTAATAAGATGTGCCGGAATACGCCGGGCTTCCAGCACGCTGCGGTCCTGTAGGTCTTGGAGCTGATGACTCCTGCTCCGGCAGGGGCCCTGGGACCTGCTGGTGGGAGGCAGGGTCTGGGGGCCGAGGGGCCTTGGGGACGCCCCTCTTGGCTTCTTCCGGCCTCACCTCTCTGCATCCCCGCTGCCTCCCACGTCCATCTCTCATGTTCAGAGCTCGGATGCCGGGTGGGTGTGAAGAGGGGATTCTGTGTGGAGGCTTCTTTCTGATGGGACACGGGACAACCGCAAGACTTGCCCCAAATCTCAGCAGATCAGCCGCGGTCACACGAGTCACAGACCAGGCCAGATGTGGGGGGAGAAACCACTCTTAAGGTCTTAGGGTCAGTTCCTAGAAGAAGTTAGATAATACCAGTGAAAGAAAAATATGCATTTCTAAAGTGGACTGCTGGTACTTGCTTTTGGGGAGAAAAAATGTTTATTATGTTTCTAGAAATAGCTTTTCTGAAGACACAGTGACGGTATACTCATGACGGAATATGATTCGGCCTTAAAACAAAAGGGAATGCTGATGTGGGCCGCAGCTTAGGTGGCCTCAGGGACACTCTACAGGGAGTAAACCAGTTGCAGAGGCCCCGTGCCACGTGACTCCACTGACGGGAGGTTCCCACAGGAGTCACATTCATTGAGACAAAAAGCAGATGGTGCTGGGGCCTGGCGGGGGTTGGGGGTCGGGAGGAGTTGGCGTTTCATGAGGGCAGAATTTCATTTTGGAGGATGGAGTTCTGAAGATGGACGGTGGTGACGGTTACACAGTATGTGAATGTATTGATACATTATGAACTCTACACGTAAAAATGGCTAAAATGGTAAGTTTTATGTTATGTGTATTTTACCATAATCTTTTTAAGTGAACAAGAAGTACCAGCAGCAGAGGGAGACAGGGAGAGCCATGGGATGGGGAGGAGGACCCGAGGGGCTGTTGCCGGGGCGCGGGGAGCACCCACCGGGGCACGGCTCTTCCTGGTGCATCTCCAGGGTGGAGCAGGCACGTGGGCTCCCACCCGTCAGCGAGGCACCCAGTGGGCTGGGGTGTGGCCTGGCCTCCTCTGCAGGAGGCTGGGTGCAGCCGAAGCCTGGGGCCGGTAGGTGGGGCCCTTGGGAGTCAGCGAGGACCCCCACACGTGTCCAGCATCGGGGGAATGCGCTGCCCTGATGGACACTGATGCCACCTCTTCTCCCTCAGGTGTTGGGCAGTTCAGCGACGACATCCAGCAGATGACCGGGCAGCGGCCCAGCCTGTACTGGCGGCTGTGCTGGAAGCTGGTCAGCCCCTGCTTTCTCCTGGTAAGGGACCTCGGGCCACCTGCCCTTCCCCCGTCTGCCCACTGCCCCCACTCTGGCACCTGCCCCGAGGTCCAGCGCCCGCATGTGGGTTGTCACTGTGGCTGGAGTCAGGGGCCTCAAGACTCGGCCCAGAAGGACAGGCTGATCCCTGAACTCATCTATAGTCTCCTTAAGGTGGCTTCCACCCTCCCCTCTAGACCCACCGAAAAAACCTCACATGGTCTTGGACCCCTGTCACAGTCCGTTGTGAGTCCTGCACTTGGGCCGCGCCTCTGTGTTGGGAGGGGAAGCTGGAGGTGAGTCGGGCTGTCCACTCACCTCTGCCTGTGAGGATCAAGGTCGAAGTTAGAGCTTCCGGGGCAGTGGGGACAAAGGATGCCGAGTGCTGGATGAGAGCAGCAGGGGCCTCGGCCCTGTCCCGTTGCTCACGCAAGCCTCCCTCTGGCTCAGCAGCATCACTGTGTCCAGTAGGCACTTGCTTCTGTCATCCGCCACCGAGTCAGGGCCCACCGGGCAAGGCCGTCGGACGCTGGTGTTTGTAAATAGAGTTTTGTTGGAAGGTGGCCGCACACTTTCATTAGGGATTGCCTGCAGTGCTTCCCCCACTGAACCACAGAGGCCTGGAGGCTCACAAAGCAAAGCTGTGCTGCCTGATCTGGGCAGGCAACCTAAGAGCTGTCCAAGTCTAAGCAGAGTGTCCCGTGAGCTGCTCACGTAGAGAAGCACCTCCCGAGTCCAGCAGGCACGAGGTGGGGACTGGAACAGGGCAGGGGACTCAGGCCGCACCCTCTCATGGACCAAGGGCTGGTCCCGGAGTCAGCAGGGCCCGCGTGCGTGGAGACCCCTCGTCACCTGCACACAGCAGGTGGGACAGCCCCGTAGTTGCCAGCAGAGGGGTTCCGGGGTACAGGAAAGAGATGAGAGACAGGCCCTATCCCGGAGGAGCTCAACATAGTGTGAGAGAACCTGCCCGGCATCTTGTAGAAATTCCACCGTGTCTGAGCTCCAGGCCGCGTGGTGTGGCTGCACGTAAGTGTTCCAAGTCCAGTTAACTGCGCTTGTGAAGGCTCCCGTTGAAGGTTCCTGGATTCATGGGGCGGGCTTTTAATAGCACACAGACTACATGGCTGTTCAGAGGGGAAAGTGAGGAAGCCCTCCCAGAAAGTCAGCCTCCTGCCCACCTCCCGCTCTCCCCCGCCATTAGTTGAAACTGAGCTGTTTTGCATGAGGACGTTGGCTCCCCTTGAGGGGGTGTCTCCTCTTAACACCCAGAGGGCTGACCTCGATCTTAGGAGATAAAATGTTCTACTGATCTTAGACTAAATCTTCGAACTTCATACAGAAACACACTTCGTAGACTTTTAGATAAAACTACAAACTATACGAAACAGGACTTCATTTTGCCAAGTTGAGAGAAACATGACAATTTCATTGCTCTATGTCATTTTGTATTTAATATGACAGCACAATTCCTATGAAGTTCTGATTTCAGCAGAAACATAACGTCTGTGTTATCATCTGTTTCTTCAGGCTGCGGCATAGTCCCCTGCCCTCTGGCGTGTGCTAACCTCTGGTCGTAAGGGGTGTACACGCCCCAGTCTCGTTCAGATGACTCTGTGGCAGATGATGCCACAGCACTGCTAAAGGGAAATTATGCCGGAGCAAAGGCAACTTACATGGGCAGACTGTGGCCTGGGGAGGCATAGTTCTTTCTAAGAAAGGTGGTATCTAGCAAGAAGTTGAACAATAACAGAGAGCACATTACAGCAATACCTCCATGTCAGATAGGCAAGCCCGACATGTCCAGGGATGCACGCGTGGCTCTTTAAAGCATGCTCAGGGCTCTCTGTGCAGCCAAGGCAGCCGCCCCTGATCCCAGATGCTGCAGGCCACTGGCTTTGCTCGCCAAAGTGCTGCTCACCCTGGCTCTGGTCACGTGACAGACACAACCCCAGCCCCCATCCCAGTCCTCCGCTAGCCGGCTCCAAACCTACAAGTGGCCCGAAGTAGCGCATGAAGAAGATGCTGAGACTGGCATGAGACACGCGTCCAACATGCTTTTCAGGTGGAAGGCTTGGATGTTTTAACTTTTCTGAAATTGAGGAAAAGTGGACAATTGGGAAAAAATTGCATTTTAAGCTACATCATAAACCATATCTATCAGAGCTTCACTTGTGTCCTTGGGAAGGACCCAGGTACACAGAACACATATGTAGGCGTGCAGTACACATGTGGGTGCACAGAACACATTCAGGTGTGAGGTGCATATGTAGGCACATGGAGGATCTTTTTAGATGGTGGTGCATGTTTGTGGAGTGGATGAACAAATGCATGAGCTGCCTCAGGAGAAGCCTCTGGAGAGTGGGAAGCTTCCCCTCCAAGTGGCATCCACCCCACCCTCTGTTACCTTTGTGGTGGTGGTTCTGAGACAGGTCTGTGACTTTATCAGATTTGCTTCTAGAATGAGTAGAGATACGGAGCTCAGATGGCCCTAGGGTGGTCCCGCATGGGTCACAGTTGTGTCTTCAGGCCATGGATGATCATAGATTCAGTGTACTGGGTGGTGGTCAGTTTTGTTTTTGTTGTGATTTCAAGCAAGGAATAGAACAAGGTGGGATACAGCAGGAAGGGATGGGATGGGATGAGATGGGATGGGATAGAGCCGGATGTGATGTAATAGAACAGGATGGGATGGAATAGAACATGATGGGATGGGATGGGAGGGGAGGGGTGGAGAGGGGATAGAACAGGATGGGATGGGAGGGGAAGGGAGGAGAGGGGATGGAACAGGATGGGAGGGGAGGGGAGGGGACAGAACAGGATGGGAGGGGAGGGGAGGAGAGGTGATGGAACAGGATGGGATGGGAGGGGAGGGGAGGGGAGAGAACAGGATAGGACAGGACAGGCTAGATCATGCTTCAGGAGGACATGGCTTGCCCGGGATGCCCAGCTGCCATGTCTGCAGGCCTGGCCGGGGTCTGCACCTGCACAGCTGTGGGGGCTGAGAGACGCTCTGCCATGAAGTGCCTGCCCGCTCCCTGCTTTGTCCTGGCACCGCCGGCTGAGAGCTGCCTGACCTCCGTATCTGCTGGTTGCAGTTCGTGGTCGTGGTCAGCATTGTGACCTTCAGACCCCCCCACTACGGAGCCTACATCTTCCCCGACTGGGCCAACGCGCTGGGCTGGGTCATCGCCACATCCTCCATGGCCATGGTGCCCATCTATGCGGCCTACAAGTTCTGCAGCCTGCCTGGGTCCTTTCGAGAGGTGGGTATTTGGACGGGGCGCCTTCACCCGAGTGTGAGGCCACCAGAAAGGCTCCGTGGGTGTCCATGGCCCCAGTCCTCACCTGCCTGGGTCATCTGTGACCAAGAGGAGGAGACTGGAGGTGGCCACCACAACACTGTGTGTGTGTGTGCGTGTGTGTGTCCACCTGCACGCCCGGGCCCATGGGTGTGCGTCCATATGTGTATTCATGTGTGTGTCTTTAAGTATGTCCACATGTCTGTGTGTGTCTGTGTGTGCATGTGTCTGTGTGTGCTTGTGCCTGTGTGTACATCCACTGTATCTCTGTGTCTGTATGTGCTGTCTCCGTGTGCACGTGTGTGTGGGCCTGGGTCTGTGCTCACATTCGTGTCCAAGTGTTTGTGTGTACTGAGTGCATGCATGCCTACACACTATGGTATGTGGTGTGGTGGACACAGAAGCCATCTGAGGGCGGTAGAATCAGGGGTGATCTAGGTCCCCCCAGGGCCGAGCCCAACTTTGGCTGAACAGGGGCAGCTGGAGCCCCAGGCAGTGGAGGAAGCTTTGCGGAGTCACTGATATGCATCTCCTTTCTTCTGCTTGGTTTTGCCGCCTTTGTGTAGAAGAAAGGCAGGTGGACCAGTCACAGGGCCCTGTTTAACACCCTGGCTCTGTGGTTCCAGGAAGAGACAAGGACACTCCCTCCTTGGAAGAGGGTCGCCCTCACCTGAGATCCCACCACTGGGAACTCCCGGAAGCTGCTTCCTCAAATCCCAGCCTTTCTCAGAAAGAAGTCGCTTGGCCCTGGGCATCAAAACCCCAGAGCAGCACCAGCTGTGTTCAAGGATTCCACCTTAGGGCCACACGGTGTCCCCTGGGCTCAGACATGTGGCAGATGCTCTCAGGCTGGCACTGAGCCAGTCTCTCCAGCAGCCTGGCCAGGCCAAGGCCCAGTGCAGGCAAAGCACAGTGTGTGGCTGGGGGCTTCTGTGGAGTGGGAGGAGCTCTGGGGCTGCCATGGCCCCAGGAAAGCTGATGGCACCCTGCTGTGGACAGTCCCTCTCAGACCCCCACGGGCTGACCTGCCAGGACCCAGCACAGGGGAAGAGCAGGCAGCCGGGCAGTCTCTGCAGGGAGAGAGCTCCTCTGGGAGGCTGGATGGACGTGGGAGGCGGGGCCCAGGTCAGCGCAGAGCTGGAGGATGCCTACAGCCCGGCGGACCTGAACAGCCAGCGCCCTTACCCCTCGCATGGCCAAACTCTGAACGTAAGCCAAGTAAAACCTCAGCAGCTGAGCCAGGTACAAGTGGAATTGTGGTGATGACGTGGGGTGGGGCCACGCACAGGGGTCCCTGTGAGAGGTCACCTGGCCTCAGAGATCCAGATACAGGCATCCAGGCCCGAGAGGGTGAGCTCCTGAAGATGCTGCCTGCTCTGGGAGGACTTGGTGCTGTCCAGGCCCCAGGAGCTGCCGCAGCGGGCAGTGGAAGGAAGGCACGTTCAGCGTTCACTCTCCCAAGAGCTGCAGGTGACAAAAAGCAAGTGCTCCCGGAATATGTCAGCTGCAGGTGGCCCCGAGGCAGCCCACCTGGGTGTGGGCACTTTCTTACTCAGAGCCCAGCACACGTGGTAGCTTAGACTCAAGAGCCATCTCCAGGACCACGTTTTATTTTCAAGCGAGTGCTCAAATGCTGATGTTCTGCTCTGCGCTAGACTTTAAGGGGACCGTCAGGATGTTGGCTTCGGGCCTGACTGGCTGTCTGGTCGGCATGGGCACTGGCAGTGTAAGTCAGTGGTGGGCGCTGGTGATATGGATGCCAGCGGGTGGGCATTGGCAGGTGAGGAGGGCTGGTGGTGAGGGTGCTGGTAGGTGAGGGTCCTGGCAGTGTGAGTCAGTGGTGGGTGCTGGCAGTGGGTACTGGTCTGCACTGACCCCTGCACTCTCTTTCTCTTTCAGAAACTGGCCTACGCCATTGCACCCGAGAAGGACCGTGAGCTGGTGGACAGAGGGGAGGTGCGCCAGTTCACGGTGAGGTCGAGGTCCCTGCTGGGCCTCTCTCGGGGGAATTCAGAATGATCCCAAGCTCAGTGTTCTTAGCCCCCAGGGGGCTCCGAGGCTGGTGTAGATGGTGCTCATTTACTCAGCCAGCATGTGCTCTATGAGGACAGGCAGCCAGTGGTGGCAGGTGACAGTGGAGACGTGTGCCCGGGACGGGGGGCACATGACGCAGGGGCCCTGGGAGGTGCGGCTGCACAGACGCCTGAGGAAAGCATGGTCCCTGCAAAGACCTGGGCATGTCCCAGACCACGGGAGCAGTGCCCTGTGGGGCCAGCTGAGCCAGGTTAAGGACCAGCAAGGGACCACCACCCCCCGCCTCACGGGGGCACAAGGGACAGTGCCAGGAGGGGAGGCCTGGGCCTGGCCATGGGAAGCCACAGGGAGCCCTGGAGGGGCTGGGAGAGGCCTGGGAGCCTGGGGCTGGCTTCGAGTGAGAGGATGGTCACGCCAGGTGTTTCCTGCACCCTGGGAGCCATCCAGCTGTGTGCGAACATGTTCATGACATGCCGTGGAGCAGGTGCATTCCCGGGGGCACACAGTAAACACTTGACGTGTTTTTACTCCCACAACCCTAAGAGGCAGCCCAGCACTCTCTCTACACCAGGGTCCCTGAGACCCAGAGAGGCCCCGGAATGTGCCCAAGATCACAGAGCTGGCCAGCAGGAGAGGAGCCTGGGCTGTGCCCTGGGCCTGTGGCACTGTCCTCCTCCACCCCAGAGTGGCCTCAGCCCCGACCTGATTCCATACACTAATGTCAGCCTAATGCCGACAGCAGAGTCCAATGCACAGCAAAAGGGAGAGAAGGCCATAGTGTGGAGGGCACCGCGGCCCCACCTCGGACCTGCCTCTTCCCTCTGGCCACCTCTCTGTGGCTGGTTCTCGTAAACAGTCCTCCCAGCAGGGGTCTCATGAGCTCATGCCTGAGGAGCCCAGCATGGACCTGCACATGGGGCAGGAGCAAGGATACAGGCAGAGGGAGGGGGCTCTGCGTGCCTGGGAGGTGGGTGGTGACGTCAGGCAGAACAAGACGCTGAGCAGGGAACAGGCCGGGAGGCAGTGGGGAGAAGCCGCCTCTGAGCACACATCTGCACAGCTTGTTCCTCCTACCTGCAAGTCAGGTTCTGGTGTGGGCTCTGCCTCCCTCCGTTGGCACCCTTTCCTCTGTCCTCCCAGTGACTTGCCTGCTCCAAACACAGGAGGCGTGTCCAGGCATCCCATCCCATCCATCCAGAGGATGCCAGCCCCTCCCCACTGGGCCTCCGGTCCTGCTCCACCAGAGCCTCTCTCCTCTGAGAGTCCTATACCTGGGGGTCTTACACTTTGTACAGGATCTTGCTAGTCTTCTCAAATATCCAACTTTGACTTCATGTGAGATTCTTGCTGTGCTTCCTGTCACATTAATCTCAGCTCCTGTATTTATCATTTCTTCCTCTCTTTTTCTTGGATCTACTCTGTTGTAGTTTTGCTAACTTTTTAATTTGGACTTTAGGTTATTAATTTGCATCCTTCGTTCTTTTCTAATGTAAGCACTCAAGGCTATGAATTTCCCTCAAAATACTCCATGTGCTACATTCCGTATTTTTTTCATAGTATTTTTCTTTATCTTTTAGTTCTAAGTATATTTTAATTTCCATTGTGACTTTGTCAACTCATAACTTGCTTAAAAGTCTGCTTTTAAATTGCCAAATATATGGGGATGTTTTACTCATCTTTTTGTTTTTAATTTCCAAATTAATTTCATTGTTCTCAAACACATATGATACCTATTATTTAAAATGTATTGAGACTTCTTTAGGGCCTTATACCTGATCAACTTTGATAAACGTTGCACATCTTTTAGATGAATGTGCTATTCTCTAATTGTCAATACACAGTTCTGCTTCTGTCCATTTGAGTAGGGTTATATATTATGTTACCCACATTGTCTACACTTTGTCAACTTTAGGGGTGCTTGACCATGAGTAATTGAGAGATGCCTGTGGCATATTCTTCCTCGATAGTATATTTGTTTGCTGTTCCCCTCAGTTCTATCAGGTTTTGCTCTCTGTAGTCTGAGGCTGTTTTCTGAGGTTGATCCATGTCCAGAATGATCATCTCTTCCTGGTGACATGAACCCATCTTCACTCCCTAATGATGCTTTTGGTCTTAAAGTCTGACTTGTCTGGGACAAATATAGTTGCACCAAGGTGTCTTTTGAGTTTGCCTGAAATATCTTTTGCAATCTGTTAACTTTCAACTTTGCAGTAACCTTAAGATTTAAGTGTCTTTTGCAAACCCAGCATACACCTAGAATTTTTTACGCTGACAGTTGGACAGGTTAATCCATTTACATTTGTTGTGATTATTGATATATTTGAACTTGATTCTACTATCTTTCTATTCCATTTGTCCCATTTTTAGTGTTTTTCTCCTTTATTGCCTTTTTATAGATTGATTTTTCTTGGTTCACTCATTTTTATTATTCCGTTTATTTCTCTCTACTTGCTTAGAACTTACATACTTTATTCTTTTTTTTTTTTTTTTTGAGGTGGAGTCTTGCTCTGTCACCCAGGCTGGAGTGCAGTGGCATGATCTCTGCTCACTGCAACCTCCACCTCCCAGGTTCAAGCAATTGTCCTGCCTCAGCCTCTCAAGTGGCTGGGATTACAGGTGCCCAGCACCACACCTGGATAATTTTTGTGTTTTTAGTAGAGACAGGGTTTGACCATGTTGGCCAGGCTGGTCTCGAACTCCTGATCTCAAGTGATCTGCCCACCTCTGCCTCCCAGAGTGCTGGGATTACAGCCGTAAGCCACTGTGCCCGGACTTATTCTATTCCTTTAATAGCTACTCTTGAGGTTGTACCATACATATTTCACTTAAACTCTACAGAGAAACCATATTTTAACCCCATCCCATTATAAGGACTTAAATCTTCCTCCTACTGATGAACATGCTATGATTGTTCAAATCTATTTCTCTCTTTTTAACCCACAAATTAGACACTGTCATTGTTCTTGTTCCTGTTATTATTTTGTACGGACTCATCATGTTCCTTGGACTAATGTGCATGCTTGGTGTTTGTTGGTTCCCATACTTTTGTTATAGACTTCTTTTCTTCTAGGACCATTTTCTTGCTTTTCAAAAAGCATCCTTCAGACATTCCTTTGAGGAGGTCTCTTGCTAACCTCCCTCACTATTGGTGTGTGGGAACATCTTTATGCTGCTCTCATTCACGAAAGCACTGTTGTGGGCTCAGGGCTCTAGGCTGACAGGGACTATCTCTGCGTTTTGGAGGCAGCAGTGTTCCGTGGCTGTGCTGAGATGTGTGGCCTGTGAGCCTGCTCTGTGGTGGGCTCTGTCCTCACCCCTGCACTCGGCCGAGTTTCTTCTGCTTTCGGTGTCTCGGGTTCACTGCGGAGTGTCGGGACCTGGGTTTCTTTTTTGTTTGTTTGTTTGTTTGTTTGTTTGTTTTGAGACGGAGTCTCGCTCTGTAGCCCAGGCTGGAGTGCAGTGGCGCAATCTCGGCTCACTGCAAGCTCCGCCTCCCGGGTTCGCGCCATTCTCCTGCCTCAGCCTCCCGAGTAGCTGGGACTGCAGGCACCCACCACCGTTAATTTGGTTTCTTTTTATTTTTCCTCTCTGGATATGTTTTGTGGCCAGATCTGTGGATTCACAAATCTTGTCATTCTGTGAATTTTGCAGCCACACACTGAAAGATTGCCTTCTGCCTTTCTGTGTTTTCCATTATGAGGCTCTGGTGTGTCCACTTTGCCCCAGGTCCTCCAGGTCTCTTACCTCACTTAGATTTTGTTTTCATTTGAATCTTAGGTGCACAGTTGAGTAACGCATCTTATCATTAATCCACATGTGGCCATTTTTAAATTATTAATTTGTCACCGTAACAAACAGACCCTTGTGAGCCCACAGCAGGAAAACTAGGCACTGTGGAAACTGCCTGCCCCTCACCCATTCTGTATCTGCGTCTAGCTTGATCTTTCCCTTGCCCTTCTTACAATTTCATTTGTTGCATCTCTAGATATTTCTAGCTTCCTAAAAAGTGTATTATTTGGCTTCAGCATTTGGTGTAGCCCTAACCAACCCCTACTGAAGCAAGACCTTATGCACACCCCATGCAGATCCCCGAGAATCATGACATTCTCCTGGCTGGGGGAACAGGCACCGTGCCCAGCCCTGTGTGGGCATCAGAGGTGGTTCCCTCTGGTCCTGTCGGCGGATCTCTCCCCAGCCTCCTCATTCACAGCGGGATGTGCTCGTCTGAACCCTCAGCAGGGGTCCTGGGCCATTGTCCCGGGTCTTCTCTCTGTGTGGCCACCTCCTCTCTGGCGCTCTGGCCTGCAAACTGCAGCCACCTCCGTTTCCCTCGCTCTCCTTTCCAGCGTCTCAGCTCAGGGAGTCCACCAGGCTGCACCCTCCCTGTGCTGCAATCTAGAAACTCCCTCGAGGCAGCGAGCAGGGTGGCAGGGGGGCCTCCTTGTTGGCTTCCCTCAGGGACCACTGACCCTTACGGTCTGGTGTCCATGGTCTGGAAGGTCATCGGCACGTGTGTTTTG
Organism: Homo sapiens; assembly: GCF_000001405.40. NCBI lineage: Eukaryota > Metazoa > Chordata > Mammalia > Primates > Hominidae > Homo > Homo sapiens. Next base: position 117,678 of record NT_187547.1, read on the forward strand.
TTTATTTGGGGCTTGTTTCGGACAGTAGGGTAAATTCGATCCCTATTATTCCATCTAGGTCAGAAATGTTTGTATCCATAGCTACGTTTCACCTACCGTGACTGGTCCCTGACCGTCCGTCACGTGAACAAACCACAGCTCAGCTATGGACGCTCCGCATTCCACTGCCCTGCCCCTGGTCTGCAGCCCAGCCATTCTCTTTTCTACTTCATCTCTGGAAGCTGCGTGTGCTCTGCTGTTTCTTGTGAAATTCTCATCACTGTGATGTGCGTGTGTCACTTTTCTGAGAGTCCCCTATGTGGCCATCCTGTAATCTGTTGCAACAGCTCTGGTCCTTTGGGGTCAAATTGAGGTCTGGTTTCTGGGGACTCACTTAGAGTGGGCTGCTGTCTTCTGTTTCTAGTCTTTATTTTACATTTATGGCTTGATCTTAATCTGTGGGAATCTGGGAGCCCCCAAGCACACCTCCCTCCAGAGGGGACCTTCTGCTTCTGTCAGCGGGCAGGACAGAGAACTGCTTCACCCTGGGGGGAACAGGACTCACAGCTGAAGTCCCAAGCATGGCTTCTTCATCGCTGGCCTGAAGTGGGGCTGCCACCCAGAGCCTCTGCTCTAGGGCTCTGGCCGCTGGGCCACCCGTGGCTGTGGGTCCTGGCCGGGCTCCCTGACCCCAGCTTCCTTCACTGAGCCCCGAGCTGCACCTGGATGCTGCCTGTGCCGGCATCAGCTGTGGCTGCTCCAGGCCCCCGGTAGACCCCTGGCCTGCAGTGTGATCCCACCCTGGCTGAGGAGGTCCCTGCAGGCTCTTGGTGGAGTGGCCAGAGGAGCCTGTGGTGTGGCCAGTGGTAGCTTCAGTGGCTTTCCATGGCCGGCGTGGTTTTGTCAGAAGCAAGCCCCGCATGCCCCTGTTTGGAAATGTTTATGAAGCACACTTCTTGCCATTTAGTGCTATCGAGGGGCTTTGACGCTCACAAACAGGCTGAACTAACAGCTGCATAATAGCAGGCGATGACATTTGCTGGTGGTGTAAATAGCTGCTCTTGTCTATCTCATCAGTCCCTGAGCAGTCAGTACACGCTGCACTTGCGCCCGCGCGGGTCGCAGAGAGCAAGATGGAGCTGCAGAGGTAGCGTGTCACTCAGATGGAGCATCTGAGGCCCCCAGGAAGGTGGAGGGACGTGGGGGAGAGGTGACATCACCACGTCACACCCAAGTCGCTGGGGTACAATCTGGAACCAGCCCCGGACTGAGGGTGCCCGGCATCTCTCAGACTCAGCATCTGATCAATACGCCCCAGAGGCCACCATGGCCACCACGCCAACCACAGTCTCGCGGCTTTTTAAAAAATCAAGTAATGATTGATTTGTAGGAGTTTGAGTGAGGCATCGGATCCCCGGCACCTGTCAAGGGTGTGTTGGTCCAGGCCCCCAGTGAGCCTCCCCTTCTCCCAGGGCACATGGCCAGGAGGCTGCAAACTGTCTGCTCACTGCCTTCAGCTGCTCTTAGCCACCTTCAGCTGCTCTTAAATGGGGCATCGCCCCAGGGTTTCTGACTAAACCTGTTTTCTTTCCAGCTCCGCCACTGGCTCAAGGTGTAGAGGGAGCAGAGACGAAGACCCCAGGAAGTCATCCTGCAATGGGAGAGACACGAACAAACCAAGGAAATCTAAGTTTCGAGAGAAAGGAGGGCAACTTCTACTCTTCAACCTCTACTGAAAACACAAACAACAAAGCAGAAGACTCCTCTCTTCTGACTGTTTACACCTTTCCGTGCCGGGAGCGCACCTCGCCGTGTCTTGTGTTGCTGTAATAACGACGTAGATCTGTGCAGCGAGGTCCACCCCGTTGTTGTCCCTGCAGGGCAGAAAAACGTCTAACTTCATGCTGTCTGTGTGAGGCTCCCTCCCTCCCTGCTCCCTGCTCCCGGCTCTGAGGCTGCCCCAGGGGCACTGTGTTCTCAGGCGGGGATCACGATCCTTGTAGACGCACCTGCTGAGAATCCCCGTGCTCACAGTAGCTTCCTAGACCATTTACTTTGCCCATATTAAAAAGCCAAGTGTCCTGCTTGGTTTAGCTGTGCAGAAGGTGAAATGGAGGAAACCACAAATTCATGCAAAGTCCTTTCCCGATGCGTGGCTCCCAGCAGAGGCCGTAAATTGAGCGTTCAGTTGACACATTGCACACACAGTCTGTTCAGAGGCATTGGAGGATGGGGGTCCTGGTATGTCTCACCAGGAAATTCTGTTTATGTTCTTGCAGCAGAGAGAAATAAAACTCCTTGAAACCAGCTCAGGCTACTGCCACTCAGGCAGCCTGTGGGTCCTTGCGGTGTAGGGAACGGCCTGAGAGGAGCGTGTCCTATCCCCGGACGCATGCAGGGCCCCCACAGGAGCGTGTCCTATCCCCGGACGCATGCAGGGCCCCCACAGGAGCATGTCCTATCCCTGGACGCATGCAGGGCCCCCACAGGAGCGTGTACTACCCCAGAACGCATGCAGGGCCCCCACAGGAGCGTGTACTACCCCAGGACGCATGCAGGGCCCCCACTGGAGCGTGTACTACCCCAGGACGCATGCAGGGCCCCCACAGGAGCGTGTCCTATCCCCGGACCGGACGCATGCAGGGCCCCCACAGGAGCGTGTACTACCCCAGGACGCATGCAGGGCCCCCACAGGAGCGTGTACTACCCCAGGATGCATGCAGGGCCCCCACAGGAGCGTGTACTACCCCAGGACGCATGCAGGGCCCCCATGCAGGCAGCCTGCAGACCACACTCTGCCTGGCCTTGAGCCGTGACCTCCAGGAAGGGACCCCACTGGAATTTTATTTCTCTCAGGTGCGTGCCACATCAATAACAACAGTTTTTATGTTTGCGAATGGCTTTTTAAAATCATATTTACCTGTGAATCAAAACAAATTCAAGAATGCAGTATCCGCGAGCCTGCTTGCTGATATTGCAGTTTTTGTTTACAAGAATAATTAGCAATACTGAGTGAAGGATGTTGGCCAAAAGCTGCTTTCCATGGCACACTGCCCTCTGCCACTGACAGGAAAGTGGATGCCATAGTTTGAATTCATGCCTCAAGTCGGTGGGCCTGCCTACGTGCTGCCCGAGGGCAGGGGCCGTGCAGGGCCAGTCATGGCTGTCCCCTGCAAGTGGACGTGGGCTCCAGGGACTGGAGTGTAATGCTCGGTGGGAGCCGTCAGCCTGTGAACTGCCAGGCAGCTGCAGTTAGCACAGAGGATGGCTTCCCCATTGCCTTCTGGGGAGGGACACAGAGGACGGCTTCCCCATCGCCTTCTGGCCGCTGCAGTCAGCACAGAGAGCGGCTTCCCCATTGCCTTCTGGGGAGGGACACAGAGGACAGCTTCCCCATCGCCTTCTGGCTGCTGCAGTCAGCACAGAGAGCGGCTTCCCCATCGCCTTCTGGGGAGGGGCTCCGTGTAGCAACCCAGGTGTTGTCCGTGTCTGTTGACCAATCTCTATTCAGCATCGTGTGGGTCCCTAAGCACAATAAAAGACATCCACAATGGAAAAACTGCCTCAGCCTCCTTGTCTCGTTTCCGCTGGGCCCCATCCATTTACACAGGCCCAGCTCACCTGCTCACACCCCGAGGTCAGCTTCTGCCCCACCCCAGCCCACCCACAGCAAAGCTTCCTCACCTGATGCCTCTTGGCCCATCTCTCCTTCCGGCCTCCCCTAAAGCCTAGACGTTAGAGATAACACATCCACTACGCTCCCATGCAGGTGTGCTGGGTGTGACCTGTCGCCCTCCCCAGGCTCCCACGCAGGTGTGCTGGGTGTGACCTGTCCCCCCTCCCCAGGCTCCCACGCAGGTGTGCTGGGTGTGACCTGTCCCCCTCCCCAGGCTCCCACGCAGGTGTGCTGGGTGTGATCTGTTTCCCCTTCCCTGGGCTCCCACACAGTGTTGGGTGCAGTGGTGACCCTCACCCACGTCTGCACTCCTGCAGGGTCCCCTGTGGCAGGTTGTGGCACCTTATGTCGTGCCCACTTGCTCAGGCTGGACCTCCGTGCCATCCTGCACCGCTCTCCCCCAGCCCCTCACCTGCCTTTCAGCATTCTTGTGGGCTCCCCACATGTCCAGACTCCAACCACACTGCCTGACCACTGCCACTGCCCAACCCAAGAGCCTCTTCCAAGCCCCATCCCAGATCTTGGTGGGTCCTGGTCCTCAGTCCAAGCATCTTTCGTCGCTCTGTGGCCTAAAGGATTCTTCTAGATACCAACAGATCAGGCCACAGCCCAAGGAAACCCCAGGGTTATCCTGGTGCTTGGAGTAAATGCCAATGCCCTCAGCATGACCTGTGATAGGATGGCAGCACCCCTTCCAGGCAGTGACCTGTGATAAGACAAGCGTCACTCCCGCCAGCCCCACCTGCAGCCCTGCCCCGAACTGCCTGAGGGCACACCCCACACCGAGGGCTTTGTGCCTGGCAGCACATGGGGACACTGCTACTGCTGCATCGTAGCACGTGGCTGCGTGTGGACAGGAAGGACGCTCGCACCTTTCAGCTGGGTCAGTGAACTCTGTGGCAGGAAAAGTGCTGGGCTGCCTACAAGGGCTGAACCTGCCTGCAGCCTAACTAGTGCCTCCCACCGTCCCCATCGTCACATAGGATGTCCCTTACCCTCAGGGGTGGCTACACCCCGCCTGCTACAGGTGCCGCCCTAACAGCTCACACCTGGAGCCCCCAGGTGTGATCCCTGCTGACCACTCAGGTCTGGGGTCCAGGCAGATACTGTGTGGGTGGCCATAAGTCACTATGTGGGCTGAGACTTGAAGGACTCCGACAGCCTCATGGGCGACTGTATTAAGCCCCAGCAATCGGAGAGGTGGGCTCCGGGGCTGGGTGGGTCTCCTCTGCCAGGTGGGTCTCCTCTGCCTGTGGTCCCAGCAGCTCGGCAGCAGGGGCCGGCCCAGATGGCCGTTGGTCACAGAGACAGCTGGGCTTTGCTGAGTGCGTCGTGGTCCAGCCTAGGCCCATGCCACTGAAGCCTTTCTCAGAGGTGTGGGGTCTGCAGGGACCGGTCACATGTGAGCCCAGGATCAGGGCATTGGGGGAAGAACCAGCTGAGGACATTCCCCAGCCCCAAAACAAAGGCACGGCAGTCCTCGAGCAGGGAGGAGTGAGGAGCCACATGTGGGATCCCGCCTCTCTGGCGTGTGAGCTGTGGATGGCATCTGGTACCAGCCCCATGCCCGCTGGCCGCTGGCGAGCTTGCAGGCTCTGCAGGCAACCGGAACAGCATACTGCAGGTGCACACGGGGTCCTCGTGCCGAGTGATTTACTCAGGGAGTGCCTGAGGGAGCAGGTGAGGGAGGGGCACTTACACCCTGAATGTAGAAGGAACTCCACAAGTCCATAGGGAAGAGGCAGACACCCCATCAGAAAAGTGGACAGAGACCTTGAATGACTGCCAGCAAGGGAAAGTGCCCAAGTGGCCAACAAACCTATGAAAAGAGGCCCAACCTCACCAGTTGTCATGGAAATGCAGTCAGCCACCACGTAATGTGGCAGCACACCCATCACAGCAGCTGGGCTTTGGAAAGTCTGAGCCCCTGTGTGGCTGCGTGTGGACAGGAAGGACACTCGCAGCTTTCAGGTGGGTGAGTGAACTCCATGGCAGGAAAACGACAAGGGCTGAACCTGCCTGCAGCCTTACTGCTGCTCCTACCCTCCCCATTGTCACATAGGATGCCCCTTACCCTTGGGGGTGGCCACCACCCCCGCTGCAGTTGCCGCCCTAACAGCTCACACCTGGAGCCCCCAGGGCCTGCCTTGGGCAGCTGGGCCCTCGTCCAGGGGCCCCTGGGATTGAAGCCTGTGCCAGGGTGGCCCAGGGCCAGACCCTGACCACCTTGAGGTCAAAGCCCCCATCCTGACCTGCAGTCTGATATATGTCCAGAGTCCCCGTTAGGACCACTGGACCCCACCTGAAACCATGTCTGCTCCGGCCTCTCCCTTCCCTTGGCCTGTTTCCCGCTCTCTCCTGGTTTTCTCCTGTGAGTCCCAGTGATTCAGGAGCACAACAATCTCCACTCAAGAGTCTGCAGGATTCCAGCCTAAGGGAGACAATCACAAGCCCCACAGTTCTCTCTGTGTGCCTGACAGAGACACATGGAGAGGCGTGTGCAGTGGCCATAAAAGCCGAGACTGGGAGCAGCAGAAAGGCCAGCACTGAGTGGACGCTCACGGCAGGAAGGGCCCGTGAGCTGCGGCACTGGCTGGTGGGGCGGTGGGAAAGGTCGAACTGTATCCCCTGAGAAGGCTGAAGTCCTGACTCCTTATGTGAAAATAAGGTTGTTGCAGATGCGATTAGATAAGACGAGGTCATACCTGAGTAGGGTGGGCCCTAAATCCAATATGACAGGGACTCTATAAGAGGAGAGGAGAGACACTGAGACCCTGAATCCAACACCACTGGTGTCCTGGGAAGGGGAAAAGAGACACAGTGAAACAGAGACCAGGACAGGACCTCTGTGTGACTACGGAGGCAGACATCAAGAGATGCACCTGCAAACCAAGACTCACAGAGGGCTGCCAGCCATCACCAGGGGCTGGAGACACACACATGGAACAGATGCTGCCCCAGAGCCTCCAGCAGGAACCAACCCTGGCAACACTGTGACTTCAAACTTCTGGCCTCCAGAGCGGTGAGACCATAAACTTCTGTTGTTTCAAGTGCCCCGTTTGTGGTGGGCGTCCCCAGGGCATTAGAGAAAGCAGGTCCATCCTGCCTGGGCCTTTGGGTACCTGAGACATTCCCGGCCCTTGGGATGCCTTCCCAGGCTTCACTCTCCTTCCCATCCTGTACTTCCTCTTGTTCCCTCATCTGGAACTACCTTCTTTCTGTTCTCACCATGAACTTTCCAACCTTAACCCACTAGCTCCTATGCCATGTCAGCTTCCCATAGACATCACCACTGAAAGTCTGTTCCCACTCCAGCTTCTGGGTTCTGGCCCTTGGCCAGTGTTCCTTGAAACCCCCATTCTCCCCAGGTCTTCCCTAGCAGGTGTTCTGTTGAAGGCAGATGGCCCATTGTCTCTTGTCCCAGCAGGAACTGAGTTAGTCTCACTCGCTTCTGCCAGTGTTTTGAACAGGCCTGGTACATGGAAGGCAGTGGCATTTAATATGTTTACAGATGGATGAATGAATGGGTGGGTGAAGGGGCGGGTGGATGGATAAATGGGTGGATAGATAAGGGATGAATGGATAGATGGAAGGCTGGATGGATGGACAGAAGAAGGGAGGGATGGATGAAAGGAGAGAGAGAAAAGGGTGAGAGAGAGAGAAAGGGATAAATAGATTGATGAATGCACAGGTGGGTTAATGGATGAGTGGTGGATGGTTGGATGAATAAATGGATGAGTGGATAGTTGGATAGATGGATGAGTAAATGAATGGATGTATTGATGGACAAAAGAAAGAAGAAAGGGAGATAGGGAGGGAGGGTGAGAGGGAAAGGGGGTGTGTAGATGGCTGGGTGGATGGATGGTTGATTACGGTTGGGTGGATGGATATATGGATAGTTAGATGGATGGGCAGGCAGATGATGGCTGGATGAATAGATGCATGGATGGGTGGATAGATGAATGGGTAGGTGAGTGGATGGGTTGATGATGGATGGATGGATAGACGGGTGGGTGGGTATGTGATGGATGGATGAATGAATAGGTGGTGTGTGGGTGGATGGGTTGATGTGGGGAGTGAGTAGGTTATGGATGGATGGATGGATGGACAAGTGGATTTGTGGATGGATGAATGGATGGATGGATGGATGGGTAGATGGGTGAATGGATGTGTGGGTAGGTTATGGACGGTTGGAGGGATGGATAGATAGATGGATGAACGGATGAATGGATGGATAGATGGATGCATGGATGGATGGATGCTTGGGTGGATGGACAGATGGATGTGTGGATGGATGGATGCATGGAAGCATGGGTGGATGGATAGATGGATGGAGGAATGGATGAGTGGATGGGTAGGTGGAGGGATAGATAGATGTGCAGATGGATGGGTGGAAGGTCCTGGATGACATGTACAAGTCTGCCATTCTGGTCCAATCTCAAATTCCCCTACAGGGCTGACTGTGTGGATGCTGTATTTAGTACTTGCTCTCCAAGGAGGGTTGGGCTGTTTAATACAAATGAAATGTTAATTTCAAAATGTCTGAAGAAGTCTTTTCTTCTGACACTGTTTGTGCAGAACCCAAGCTCCCTGGGAGGGATGAGCCCGCAGAGCCCGCTTTGGTGCTGGACTCCCTGGGAGGGATAAGCCCTCAGAGCCCGCTTTGGTGCTGGATGGGAGGCTCACCCCTCCGCACCCTGCCCTTTACCATGGGATTTGTGCTGTTCGTCAAGTGACCTTTAGACACATGGCCTGGGTTTTTGAAGCCTGAAAAAACTATACAATTTTTCCTTTGAGAGAAGCATTTTAATAAAGGTTCGGCAACAGCGAAATACGTGGCTGAAAGGGTAAACGGATTCCTCTATGTTTGGCTTTTTTTGGTTTTCACTCCACAATCCTCCTTTAATCTCTGTAGATTCATTTGACTGGCCCAAAGGTCACAGCCTCTACCTGTTTCCTGAAGTCTGACAACAGAAAAAAAGCCACCTTTTTTGAAACACAATTCATCAGCAAATCCTACATTCCCTGGCGCCTCGCCTGCTCTCCTTCTCCTGAGGATGCACCAGATCACAAACACAGCTGGCCCTGGCGCCACAGCCAGGACCCATGATTCAGCAGGACAGAGCCAAGGATACTCATGCCCTACTGACAGATGGGTGTCCCACAAACCAACTGCCACTGTGCCGGTGCCTGACTTGGGGAGCTGGGGGAAAGCAGAAATGGAACCGACGGTCACACCCTGGCCTCCTCCTCCCCTCACCCCAGCCTGTCACTTAAGTGAACCAGGGCCATGGGGAGCTAGGTGTGGCCTGACCTGCAGCCCCCAGCTGCTCTCTGCAGCCAAGAGTGAGAACCGCGGCACCAGCCATGACCCACAGCTGTCAGCATCCCCACAGAGGATGGGAACCTCCGAGAACCACCCTCCTGGCAGAGAGGGCCAAGGGCGGTTCTGTGAGACCTGTGTCTCAGGTGTGTGTGTGAGAGAGAGGCAGGCAGACAGACAGACAGAAGGGCAAGGGCGGTTCTGTGAGACCTGTGTCTCAGATGTGTGTGGGAGAGAGGCAGGCAGACATTCAGACAGGGAGAGGAGGAGAGAGACAGAAAGAGACTCAGCAAAGCAGAGAGAACTTAGATCAGGGTCAAAGACTTCTGACGGCCCTCCCCTAGTCAGGGTGGTCGGCCATCCCGGTCTGCCCCGGACTGAGGGGTTTCCTGGATTCAGGATTTCTGGGGACCAGTGGTCGCCCCTGTCCTTAGTACTGGCCAGCCCTGCTCTGCTGAGTTGGGGAGAGCAGCCCCAGGCAAGGAGGTCTGAGGAAGGGGTATGGAGCGCGAGATGGGGGTGGCAGAGGGGAGATCACAGGAGAGCAGGTGGGGCAGGCTCAGACCAGCTCCCCATGTGTCGGGGTGCAGGAGGGGCAGCAGTGGCCGTGCACAGCGGGAGGGCGGTGTTTGGGGTGGACTGAAGGTGCCGAGCTCCAGCCCCGCTGTGTGGGACGCACTCAGCCTTTAAGGTGCTGCACCTGCACTTGCGCAGCAAGGAGCGAGCGTCACAGAAGCCAGTGCAGCCGGCCAGGGAGGACAGGGCAGAAAGCCACGAGGACAGGACCTGCGGGCAGCTGGCGGAGCCAGGCCAGACCAGACGCTGCCGGCTTTGAAGAGCGGCTCGGCCGCGGCCACGCGCGCCCGGCGTCAACGGGGCGTCTGACGTTTTCCTTTGTTTTCTTTTGTTCGAGAAGCCGGAAGTTTAGACTTTTACATTTGGGTAAAACGCTCCAGTGTTTGGGTGTCGGTGGCTGCGTCGCTGCGTCAGTCAGTCACTCGGTGGCAACAGCAGCAGCAGAGGCGCCCACCTGGCTGAGCAGAGAGACACGGTACTCACGGCGGGTGTGGGGGGCACAAGGCGCTCACAGAGGCCCCAGAGAACCGGCTCAGAGGCCAGCAGGGCAGAAGGGGGAGTCAGCCGGGTGAGCAGCTCTGCGCCCCGCCGGCCCCCACACCGACCACAGCAGAGGAGACCGGCGGCCTCACTCCCCGCGCCGGCCCCAGAGCCCCGCCCGTGCAGGTGCAGTAGGGCCCGGGGCACAGGCGCGGGGGAGCCGGCAGGGATGGCTGCGCCCAGCCAACGGCAGCAGGACCACGAACACCCCACTGCACCCCGTTCCATGAGGGCAGCTTCCTGTGAGCCAGACACGGCCCTGTCCAAGGGATCCTACCGCCCCGGCCCAGGCCACGCCCCAAGGAACGCCCTGTGGGTGGTGCTGAGCGGCACAGTCCCCAGGCCCCGCGGCCGGCCCTGCATTCGCTCTCTCGTGCCTTCCCTGGGGGAAACGCCCAGCCTGGCAGCACAGAACCTTTAGTTACACAGGCCTGAGTTTGAGGTCCGGGGAATGGGAAAGTGAAACGTGATCGCTGAACCTGCGTCTCCCATGTTCACACTATGTCCAGCAGTGAAAGTCCATCGAGCCTCCGACCCAAGCAACAGGCATTCTTCTACCCTTCCCCTGGCTGGCCTCCCTTCCCACCTCACAACGCTCACATGAATAAAGCGTGTCCCTCATGCCACTAGAAGAGCTCAGCCTGGGCCACAGCCCCCTCTTGGTGGCCCTGGAGAGGCCTCCTCTCCAAGAACACCAGCCCACCATGGTCCTCTGAGGACGCAGGGCCAGACACCAAGCGGGCAGGTGGCACGGAAAGAAAATATCGCAAGCTCTGTTCGCCTAAAAATATCGCTCTTCTAAGGTGAATGCAGAAGAATTTTCATGTATATGACTGACCTTCACAAATCCAGCCAGCATTAGCCCATCAAGCACTGAACACATTTATCTAGAATTTAAACAATTTTACTTATTCTGCAAGCTGAGATCCTCTTTACTTAAAACTGTTTGTCATATAGATGAAGGGACCCGTCAGACAGAACATTTTATTTGGTTAAAAATTGGATGGCATACATATTTACACAGTATTAGTGGGACAGAAATGACCGTTTTGAAGTATGCCCTCAGCCATGGCTGCTGGCCATGGGCTCCAGCCGGCCACGCCCTGCAGGTCCCCATCGTTAAGCTCATCCTGGTTCAGAATCAAAGGTTAATATTTAAGTGGCTTTTCAATTTGTGTATTCAAAGATAGTATTATGACCTGTAAGCTACAGAAACATTCTCATATCCTTTAAGCCTTGTTCACACAGAGAAACTGTATCTAAAATTCTAAAAAGTTCTATTAATCACAATGGTAATTTTTAAAGCTTAGAAAGAAGAGGAAAAGACATCACCTGTAGGTCTGTTACCCAGAAACGGCCAACACCCCACCGGTGCCCTGAGTTCATCCCGTGCCCATGCCGAGGCCTGGTTTGCTCCGGGTCCTGTCGCCAGGACACTGGACACTGCAGCTGGGCAGCTGCAGACCCTCCCTGTACTTTCTCCACCCAGGGTCGGGCATCGGGGTTGTGGAGGGACAGGCAGATGGGAGAGGGCAGGGGTGAGACTCAGGGCTGGGCCCTGGGTTAGAATCTCTGGCTCCCTCACTTTTTGGCAAGGGTCCAGGCACCTGTGCCTCAGTTTACTCATCTGTGCAGAGAGCAGTCATCGCGCCCAGCACAGAAGGCTGTTGAAAGGATTGGACAAGTTAAATGATGGAAATGGCTCAGATGTTTATGCACCAGTGCCACAGATGTCCCAGATCCATGTAACTATCAGTCTAATGCTACCGTTACCACTCTTAAAAGTATTTCAGATAATGAAATAAAACAGACTTTCCAGATTCTGACATGATGTAAAAAGGCATCCGTAGGGATCACTGACCTGAGGTTTCTGGAGATGAGCCTGGCCCTGCCATGACACAGGTGGGGTCATGATGCAGAGGACAGCCACCTGCAGCTGCCACCACCTGACAGGATACAGGACAGTCACCCCCACCTGTCACCACCACGGAGGACAGAGGGGACAGCCACCCCCACCTGTCACCACTTGAGAGGACACAGGACAGCCACCCCCACCTGTCACCACCTGACAGGACACAGAGGGCTTCTGGGAACCACTTGTGTTGTCTGTGTGTCCAAAGGGCGTGAAAGGACAGCCCAGTGACTGTTGCCTGCACAGAAATGATGCCCTTGAGACCGGAGGCCCAGGACACCTGCCCCTGATGGGCTCAGCGCTGATGGGCTCAGCGCTGATGGGCTCAGCGCTGGGCTTGAGAGCAGGAGTGTGTCCTGCTTCTGCATGTGTGTTCTGAGCAGAGTCCCTTTCCTGCGTGGCTGCCAGGACACTCAAAGCCACTGCTGAGCTCAGGTTCAGTGATGGAGTGGAGCTGTCGTTTCCTCCTGTGTGGTAGCCATACTCCCAAGGCCCCCCACCTCCTGTTGGTGACACCCTTGTTTGGTGTCCCGGCGATAACCATATTCTAACCCACAGAACACAGCAAAGTGGAGTGGAGGAATGTGATTGTGTTACACAGGATTGCAATGCCCATTTCTTTGGAACCTGGCCCTCCCCTGTGGCTTTGAGGAAGCACATGGCTGGGCCGGGGAGCCCCAGGTGACACGAACAGCAGGTGGCCTCTGGAAGCTCACGCAGCCTCTGACCAGCAAGGAAGTGAAGTCCCGAGTCCACAGCAGCAGGGCCCGGGATCCTGCCAATATCCCAAGGAGCAGAACCCAGGTGGACCCTGGCCCACGGGAGCCTTGAGTGAGACGGTAGCGGTCTGACGTCCGCGCTGCACTGGTGAGGCCTGAGCAGGGGACCCCGGAAACCCGGAGGGAGATGTGGACTCTGTTCAGCCGTTTGGCTCATGGCTGGCATTGCCATACGCGGGAGGCACTCGCTTCTCTGCCATTTTTATTTTGTATTTTCTTGTTAGCAGCCCTGGGAGGGGCCTGGCACAAAATATGCCTCAAACACTGTGGAGAGAATGAAGGAGGGTGAGCAGGGGGTTGGGGGGGGGTGCTCAGGAACCCCTGGGGAAATGAGGTGTGGTATGTAAAAGCAAACATTTATTATTTGTAATAAAAACATTCACTGTTTTCTGTGTGTGTTTATTTGTTTGTTTTGAGACAGAGTCTCACCCCATCGCCCAGGCTACAGTGCAATGTCGCCATCTTGGCTCACTACAACCTCCTGGGATCAAGCGATTCTCCTGCCTCAGCCTCCCGAGTAGCTGGGATTACAGGCGCCCGCCACCACACCCAGCTAATTTTTGTATTTTTATTTGTTTTTCTTTTTTGTTTTTGAGATGGAGTCTCACTCTGTTGCCCAAGCTGGAGTGCAGTGGCGCCATCTTGGCTCACCGCAACCTCCACCTCCCAGGTTCAAGCAATTCTTCTGCCTCAGCCTCCCGAGTAGCTTTGTATTTTTAATAGAGAGAGGGTTTCACCATGTTGGCCCGGCTGGTCTCAAACTCCTGACCTCAAGTGATCTGCCCGCCTCAGCCTCCCAAAGTGCTGGGATTACAGGTGAGCCACTGCGCCCAGCCAAGACTCACTATGACATGGAACTTCTTCCATTTGTTTTCGCGTTTTGGGCTCTGAAATACTTACTGGTAGTGCGTGATCACCGCAGTGCCTTCCCTAAACGGGGAGCCGTGCCCACGACACAGGTCCCCCAACACACCAATGTGCCCCCACCCCTCCAGCCTCAACAGGCTTTCCCAGGCCTCTGCATGACCGGGGTGCTGGAGGTACATCCTGGGAGGTCCTTACCCAGGGACTGAGGTGTGAACGCATGAAAACGCAGCCTCCCTGCCTTGCACGGGCAGCTCAGAGCCATAACTCGTCCCCCAGAGCACCTCTCGGCCCGTCGCCACCCACGGGGCACTTCCTGAGAGCAGAGCCTGCTCTGCCACCTCCCTCTGAGGCCTCCCTGCTACTGTCGGAGACCACCACCCTCCCAGGCCTCCCTGCTACTGTCGGAGACCACCACCCTCCCAGGCCTCCCTGCTACTGTCGGAGACCACCACCCTCCCAGGCCTCCCTGCTACTCTCGGAGACCACCATCCTCCCAGGCCTCCCGGCTACTCTTGGAGACCACCTCCCTCCGAGGCCTCCCTTCTACTCTCAGAGACCGCTTCCCTCATTAGCTCTGCGGAAGCAAGCCCTCTTCCCGGGACCACGGTGGCTGCAGTACGGGTAAGTGGGTGCCGCACTGGCTTTTTCTGGAACCACACGATCAAGAGGGTTTGGCTACCGAAATGCCTAGAAAGCTTCAGGACCAGGCGCTCTCCTGAAAAGCTATTTGGTCAAGTGAGTGGTTTAGGTGGGCATGCGTGTATATGTGGGCGTGTGTGGGTGTGTGTCCATGAAAGTGGCCATGTCTGTGTGCGTGTGTGCATGTAAGAGTGCCTGAGTGGGTGAGTGTTGACCATGTGCATACGTGGGTGTGTGCAGGTATGTACGGTGTGTGCACATGTGGGTGTGGGCATGCATGTGTATGGGTGTGTGCACAGGTGTGTGGGTGTGCGTGTGGGGGTGTGCATGCAGGTATGATGTGTGTGCACAGGTGAGTGTGCAAGCGTGTGCAGGTATGCATGGGTGTGAGGTGTGCACGTGTGTGTGGGTATGTGCCTGTGTGTGGATGTGCATGGGTGTGTGCCGGCATGCATGGGTGTGGGGTGTGCACAGACAGGTGTGTGCATGGGTGTGCATGTGTATGGGCACGTGCACGTGTGTGGGTGTCCATGTAGGGGTGAGCATGTGTGTATGGATGTACGTGTGCACAGGTGGGTGTGCAAGTGTGTGTGGGTGTGCACAGTGCAGGGGTGTGTGGGTGTAGGTGTGCACATGCCTGATGGTGGACAGGAACCTCAGGTTCCTTCCTACTGCTCTTTCTGGCCCCACTAGTGGATCCGGAGTAGAAACCAGCCAGAGAGAAGCGCACAGGGGAAGCACAGCCATCACTTAGCAAAATCACTTAGTGAAATCTGGGGGAAAATGAGAGTGGGCTGAAGGCAAAATCAGTGTGCTCTTTCAGCTGGAGAACATAGCAATCAGGGGAATAGGGGCATGGAACAGCCCAGAAACTGGATACACAGAGCTGCGCAGCCGTCATATGCCCCAGGAGGAGGAGGGCGGCGGGTGTGTTCACGCACCACGTGCAGCCCTGGCTGCTCTGCTGCTGGAGTCCATTCGGGCTGCTGTGACAACACGCCTAAGCCTGAGCCACTTGTCAACAACAGACATTTATTGCTCACAGTCCTGGAGGCTGCAAGTCCAAGACCAGGGTGCTGGCGGATGTGGCGTCCCATGAGGCAGCCCTCTGCTTCCAAGACGGCGCCTCTTGACAAGGCTCAGGGTGGACAGAGCGAGGGAGCTCCCTGGAGCCTCTTCTACCCGGGCCACTCATGCCATTCGTGAGAGCACAGCCCTCGTGATCTACTCACCTCCCAAAGGTCCCACCTGTTAACACCATCACATTGGGTATTAGGTTCCAACCTATCAATTTTGGGGGCCACTAACACTCAGGCTACAGAAACTACTAATGCATCTTGGGATATTGTGAAACTGAAAGGTGACAACGTGCCAGCAGCCCTCGCTGGCTCTCGGCGCTTCCTGGGCCTCCGTGTCGGCTCTGGCCGTGCTTGAGGAGCCCTTCGGCCTGCCGCTGCGCTGTGGGGCCCCTCTCTGGGGCTGGCCGAGGCTGGAGCCAGCTCCCTCTGCTGGCGGAGAGGCGCGGGCGGGAGCGGGGGCTGAGCGCAGCGCTCGCGGGCGGCGCGGGTTCCGGGTGGGTGCAGGCTTGGCTGGCCCGCCGACGCCTGCTGGGCTTGATCTGGGGATGAGCTCCCTCTGGGCTGCCGGAGTGCCCAGGGTAGATGCTGCAAAGTTCTAAAGGGAGTGCTACTGAGAGGTGAGGCCGGCTGGGCTTCTGGCTCCGGTGGTGACTTGGAGAACTTTTCTGTCTACCTAAAGGATTGTAAACACACCAATCAGCACTCTGTAGCCAGCTAAAGGTTTGTAAATGCACCAATGAGCACCCTGTCCAAATGGACCAATCAGCTCTCTGTAAAATGGACCAATCAGCTCTCTGTAAAATGGACCAATCAGTTCTCCGTAAAATGGACCAGTCAGCAGGATGTGGGTGGGGTCAGATAAGGGAATAAAAGCAGGCTGCGGGAGCCAGCGGTGGCAACCTGTTAGGGTCTGCTTTTGTCCTCTGGGAGCTTTCCTTGTTTGGTTTTCGTAGTAAATCTTACTGCTGCTCAGTGTTTGTGTCTGTGCTGCGTTTGTGAGCTGCAACGCTCACGGTAAAGGTCTACAGCTTCACTCCCGAAGCCAGCGAGACTGTAAATCCACTGGGAGGGGCAAAGAACTCTGGACGTGCTGCATTTTTAGGAGCTGTGACACTCACCGCGGAGGTTTGCAGTTTCACTCCTGAAATCAGTGTAGACCACGAACGCACCAGAAGGAACAAACTCCAGACACACCGTTTTTAGGTAACCGTAACATGTACCGCGAGGGTCTGCGGCTTCATTCTTGAAGACGAGACTAAGAACCCACCAACTTCTGGACACAAAACCACCCCAAAAAGTGAGTTTCTAAAGGAGAAGCTAAAAATAAAGACCACGAAAGTGTTGCCCATGGTGATAGCTCCAGACGTCCGGAGACGGTGTTCAGCGCTGCTGCAGGAGAGGTATGTGGGCAGAGTGGGGAACCGCATTCCTCCATGGAGGCTGCTCTGGAGGGCTGGTGCCTGCATCGGGGTTGCATTCAGCCCCTAACAAAGCTGTAGGCAGCCGCTCCGTGTGGTGCGGGGGAAGCCGGTGCAGGCATTACTCCTACAGCGTTCTGTGGTTTCTTCTCGGGAGTGATACAACCCACTGTCTCCACTGTAAGGTTTAGTTAATGCTGGGTGACAGTCTGATCTCACGTAGCCAGGTACAGATAAAGTACAACACACTCCTTAGTCTCCTTCCTTTCCTGTCCGCCAGGTGCCCACAGGGGGCCTGCACTTCAACTCCTGAGCAGCTGGGCTCCCACCCCTAGCCTGAGCCCTGCTGTTTCCTGCTCTCTGCCCTGTATCCTTGTCAGAGCCTCAGCTCTCTCCCTGTGCTGAGTTGGCGCAGGTGAGACGGAGGGACCAACGCCTGGCCCTTAACGTCAGTGCCTAGTGCACACTTACCCAGTGTGTGCGTGGCCTACCAGCGGTACCCAGCCATGGGGCGGCAGGAATCCCTCTCTGCCTGCAGTCCTGCCACCCTGGTCTTCTGCCTCCCCAGGGAGTTTCCACTTTGCGGAGAAGTGGGGGCCAGAGAGATGGGGGGAGTTAGTGGAGGGAACAGGGAGACAGACCCTTCCCTTCATGGTCCTCAAAGGTACAGGCGCTGGTGGGCTTACCTTATTATGGAGGCTGCAGCTTTTGTGTTCCTTCCAGGACCACAGAAATATACCACACACCCCCCAAAGTAAATAAGTGATTAAAATCAACCGGGATGGGGGCTTGAAGCCGAAATGGAATATAAGCAGTAACAGGTGAACCTCATCGAAGGGAGTGGGGAAAAGAAAACCTACCGCATGCTTTGGAAGACAGTATCATGGGCTGTAAGACAAAAAGAATGGCGTGCAGACACTGTGCCCTAGTTTGTGAAGCTGTTTTGCACAGCAACCTGGGTTAGCAATTATGAGATTACTTTGTGTGTGCTCCAGACTTGAGCAAGCAAGCATATTGTGGGTAATTAGAGCCGGATACATAATTTGCGGGACCTGGTGCGAAATGAGATTGCAGGGCCCTTGCTCAAAACTCATTAAGAACTTAAGGATGGCGACAGCAGAGCTTTAAACTCTGAGCAGGAGGCCCTGTCTGGCCGCTCAGGTCACCTTCCAGCGGCCGCGCTGTGGGTGACGAGCCTCGCTGCTGGAGAAGGGAGCTACCAGTAAGGAGCATGGGAGGCTGGGAGGGGAGGCGGCAGTAGGAGCTTGTAGTTTCAGCACGGAAGTGTCGGTAGACGGCTGGGTAGACGGGTGTGAGCCTGGCATGGGCCCGTGTGTTCTCACCGAGGCTTTAGCTGTGTCCACTGGGGGACCTCGGAGCAGGGACACCCTACAGCCATGGGCACCCCCAGAGCCGGATCTCGGGCACTAACATCTTTCTCCAGGTCAGGCACTGGGGCCCCCAGATAGCACTGAGGCAGGGAGGGTTCCCGGGTGAACATGGAGTGGTCCCACAAAGTAAGGTAGAGCGCCCAAAGGGCAGCGGGGGGGGGGTGGTCAGTAAGGCAGAGCGCTCAGAGGGCAGCGGGGGGGGCCAAAAGGATGCAGGACCAATCTACACGGCTCCAGAGCCAAACCTGGGATAATCGGAGCAAAACAATACATAAGTATACCAATGGGCCAGGTGCAGTGGCACGTGCCTGTGATCCCAGCACTTTGGGAGGCTGAGGCAGGTAGATGGCTTGAGTCCCGGAGTTCTAGACCAGCCTGGACACATGGTGTGAAACCTTGCCTCTACAGGAGATAAAAAATCAGCTAGGCATGGTGGTGCATGCCTGTGGTCCCAGCTACTCAGCAGGCTGAGGTGGGAGGATCATCTGAACCCAGGAGGCAGAGGTTGCAGTGAGCTGAGATCATGCTGCTGCACTCCAGTCTGGGTGACAGAGCGAGACCCTGTCTCAAAAAAGAAAATTATAGTAATAGTTCATAACTCATAAGGCTAAATGCCCACAAGTCCATACATAAATGCATAGATAAATAAGGGGGAAGAGGGTGAAATGCTCGTCTCCTCCGAATTGCAGTTAATGTAGAAGGAACGATGGTAACAGAGAATGGCCATTTGGCAAACAACACAGGAATCATCGAGGGATGTTGCGATTAGTAGGCAAAATTAGGATGAGAAATGGGATATTTCTTGGCCTCAAACTATCTCCCGACAAGATAATTAAAGGGAAAATGTAACTTTGTGGCAGAGAGCCCTGGCAGATACCCCTGCTCCCAGCAACCGAGCTTAACACGCCAGTAACAGGCCCAGATCATAGGTCTCCTGATGAGATGCCCTGAAGTCAGCCTGGCATAGCTTCTGTGGGTCCTGCCCAGAGGATATGTCCTAAATGCAGTCATGAGAAGCAGCTGTGTGCTGGGCAATGGCCCCACACTCCAAGCTGTCCCCACTGGGAGGCAGCCAGGGAGAATGACAACCAAATGCAATGTGTGGTCCTGGACTGGGCTGTGGGCCAGAAAGACACTGGGATGGGGCCTGTAGATAGTTAATAGTATTGCATTTCAAATAATTTTTTAAAAACAGTATTGCGTTGGTGTTAATTTCCTAATTTTGAACATTGCACCATGGTTCTATGTGAGATAACTTCTAGGGAAACTACTTACAGGATATGCTGGAATTCTTTGCACTGTTTTTGTTTTTTGGTAACTTTTTTCATGACTGAAATCATTTCAAAGTGACTATTTAGAAATTAAAAATGAAAACAAGATGATCTTTTATCCTCAGAGAATATCCTTCTAAGTATAAACAGTGTGAGTGCTGTGCTCACAAGTCACCTGAAGGCTGGGCGCGGTGACTCACGCTTGTAATCCCAGCACTTCGGGAGGCCAAGGCGGGCGGGTCACCTGAGGTCAGGAGTTGAAGACCAGCCTGACCAACGTGGTGAAACCCCATCTCTACTAAAAATGCAGAAATTATTCCAGCATGGTATCCCAGCTACTCAGGAGGCTGAAACAGAATTGCTGGAACCCGGGAGGTGGAGGTTGCAGTGAGCCGAGACCACGTCACTGCACTCCAGCCTGGGCAACAGAGCGAGACACTTTTTTTGTTTTGTTTTGAGACAGTTACTTGAAATAATTTCACTTGTGTGGTTGCATCACCAGCACTGTGATACGTAGTTGTCCTGTGGCAAACGGTGCCCTCCAAACACATGTCCGCCCACAACTTCAGAATGTGAACTTGTTTGGAAACAGGCTCTTTGCAGATGCAATGAGTTAAAGTGAAGTCATTCTGGATTAGGGCGGGCCCTAAATCCTGTAGCTGATGTCTTATGAGAAGACATCAGACAGACCAGCACAGAGGAAGAGCCCCACGCTGAGAGGGAGCAGACTGGAGGGATGCAGCCAACAGCCAGGGCACACCCAGGGCCACCAGCAGCCACTGTGTGGGAGAAGGGGGTGGAAGGAGCCCACTCTGCCTGCACGTCACTGTCACACTGTGGCCTCTGAGACGGCAGGTGCCTGTTGTCCTGAGCCATGTGGTGTGCAGCACCTTGTTATGGCAGCCACAGGAGACCAACATCACCATCCAGCTCACGTCTCCACTTTAGAGTTCACCTTCTTCCTTTCGATGGCGAGGACGGCATTCTGCAGACGTGGAAGACTTACACCCTCGGAAGCCAAAACCACAAAGCAGGATTCCTTCGGAGAGGTCTAGCTGCTGTACAGATAACTGCTTTATTAGATTTTACGTTCCTTCCCACCCAACCTTCATTTCCCCCATGATCAGACCAACGGTAAGGCAGCCTCACCCTTTCTGCCCCTTTGTCCTTTAATGCAGGAAAGATGAACCCTAAAATTGGGGTTTTGCCGGGAGGGTTCTTGACTTCACCCAGGAAAGAGTTTGAGGGCAAGCTGGAGGTGTTAGCTGCTCCTTGTGGAGCGGGGTTGACTCACAGGCAGTGTGCCCAGAGTCCACAGTGTATGGGCTGTTGGCAACTGTATTTATACCCACTTCTTTTACATGCAGATTAAGTAGAGATCAATGCAAATTGAGGGGTGGGTTATTTAGAATTGTCTAGAAAAGAAGTGACAACTTCTGGGTCGTTGCAATGAAAAAAGGTGGTAACTTCCAGGTCATTGCCATGGCATTTGCAAACCATCATGGCCCTGGTGGGAGGGTCTTATGCCAATGAGCAATGATGGCAGCCAGGGATCACCCTCCTCGCCGTCCCCTGATTCCTGTCTCCACTTCATCCCATCCAGCCCAGATCCTGTTTTGGTCAGTGGGTCAGTGACCAGAAAACAAGTCCTGCCACCTTCCTACCTCATCCCCTCTCTTCAGAGATGAGATCCTTCCCCTTAATCTTAAGGGGGTGCAGAAGGGCAGGGTCTGTCTTCTGGGATTGCTTCCTGCTGTGTTCATGGGCATAGGTCCTGTGTAAGGTTAGAGGAGGGAAAATCTCTGATCTAAGGGCCCCAGAGGCCAGACACTTTCATTCTCCAGGTCAGAGGATAGGATGGGTTGAAGCCTGTACCAGTGTTGTCTTTGTGTGGAATTGTTGCAATCTACAGGACTCGAGCTTTGCTAGGAACCAAAAGTTAGTAATGATAAGATAGTTATTAAAGGTCCTGGGAAAGGTCCTTTGCCTTTCCTACAGCCCACATGGTTGCCAACAGCCCATATGCCGTGGACTCTGGGCACACTGCCTGTGAGTCAGCCCGGCTCCACAGGGAGCAACTAACACCGCCAGCTTGCCCTGTAACTCGTTCCTGGGTGAAGCCAAGAACCCTCCTGGCTAAACCCCAATTTTAGGGCTCATCTTTCCTGCATCAAAGGAAGATGAGGCTGCTTTACCGTTGGTCTGATCATGGGGGAAATGAAGGTTGGGTGGGAAGAAACCCAAAATCCAATAAGGGAGCCAAAAGTTAGTAATGATGAGATGTCATTAAAGGCCCTGAGAAAGGTCAAAACCAGGCAAGAAGAATCGGTATGGCTGATGACTGCACGTGCTCCTCGCCATGTGATTTGTGTATTTGCAAAACAACAGCTTTACACCTTCCAGGGGCTCACAGGTGAAGGGCATGCTGTCCTCCCCTCATGCCTGCAGGGACGCAGAAGACGCAGGTTTAACCCTGGACAGGTGTACCCAGCGAGTGACTTCCTGCAGTTTAACAGCAGTGGGACACAACAGCTGAACCTCTGGGACACCAACCCAAGCAGTTTTTGTTTGTTTTGTGGGACAGGGTTTCGCACTCTCGCCCAGGCTGGAGTGCAGTGGTGTGATCACAGCTCACTGCAGCCTTGACTTCCTGGTCTCAAGTGATCTTCTCACCTCAGCCTCCCAAGTGGCTGGGACTGCAGATGTGCGCCACACCCACACTACATTTTTTTTAAAAAGTGGTGTGTGGTGTTTTTTTTTGTTGTTTTTTTTTTGTAGAGATGGGTTTTTGCCATGTTGCCCAGGCTGGTTGTGAACTCCTAGGCTCAAGTGATCCACCTGCCTTGGCCTCCCAAAGTGCTGGGATTACAGGCGTGAGCCACCGCACTCAGCCCAAAGAAGTTTTAGAAGAAGCTGGTTATAGCATTAAAAGCAAAAATTCTCATAACTTAATAAATCAATACCTTAAGAAAACCCAGTTCCAATACATAGATCATTCCCTAGAAAGTCTACCACAAACCATTTTTCTTTAATCAGCAGGGTGCAGTGGCTCATGCCTGTAATCCTAGCACTTTTAGGAGGCCAAGGCGGGCAGATCACAAGGCCAGGAGTTCGAGACCAGCCTGGCCAATATGGTGCAACCCTGTCTCCACTAAAAATACAAAAATTAGCCAGGCGTGGTGGTGGGCACCTGTAGTCCCAGCTACTCAGGAGGCTGAGGCAGGAGAATCACTTGAACCCGGGAGGCAGAGGTTGCAGTGAGCCTAGATCATGCCACTGCACTGCAGCCTGGGTGACAGAGTGAGACTCTGTCTCCAAAAAAAAAAAAAAAAATTTCTTTAATCACAGCAGGCTTAATTGCACACAAAACTACTCTCAGAAGTTCCCCTTCACAAACCCCATTACAACCCACACAGACCACCCATGACATGCCTGGACTCTCTGACCTGTCCTACACCTCCCTCACAACCAGTCTCTTTATTCTGGGACCAGAGATCCTTTCTCATACAAAGTCAGTCTTTCTTGGCCGGGCGCAGTGGCTCACGCCTGTAATCCCAACACTTTGGGAGGCCGGGGTGGGTGGATCACCTGAGGTCAGGAGTTTGAGACCAGCCTGGCCAACATGGTGAAACCCCGTCTCCACTAAAAATACAAAAATTGGCCAGGCATGGTGGCGGGCACCTGTAAGTCAGTCTTCATACCCCTCCTGAAAAAAAAAATGTATGTATGTATAACTCCCCACTTCTCTCTTTTCTACTCGTACTGGTTCCCTCATATTTTGAGCCCCTCATTTAATACTTTCTGGACAAAAGTTATTCTTTTCCCAATAATGTATCTTCCCTAGCACATTTTATATACAGGTAGGAAGCAAGAAATCTTCAACTGCCCAACAGACATTAGCATCCTGTAGATGAGAAGCATTCTACAGTTTCAAGATTTTTAAGCCATACAAAACTCACTACCTAAAGCCATTTTAACCATTCCAAAACCTATGAACATCTGGTTTACCTAGGTAAAAATTAAATTTTAGAAGACACAACATTCCCTTCAAACTAACATGTTTAGACTTATTTGTTTAATTTATGAGCACTCTTATTTATAAGCCAATGTGATAGCATGCTAGTCACAACACATATCATGCAAATGAAGTGACCTGTACAAGACAGCTGGACCCAAATTATTTATAAAATTGGGACCTGTTTACCTGACCAAATTTTATTTGCCCTGATAAGTATGAAAGACAAGGGGAAGTGGAGAAAGATTCTGTAGGAAAGGGGGGTGGTGGTGAATTATATGGCTCAGTGTGAAACCTTGCAGTCCCTGAGCCACCAGAGAGCTCACCCAGCAGCGGAGACACCAAAGAAAAATGTTGAAGTGGCCACTTGTCAGCCTGCAGGAAGCCATCCACCAGGCCAAGGGTCTGAGGCCCCCAGTACACTTACTTGAGCAGAACACCTCATTGGGGTCAGGAGATAGAGACCATCCTTGCTAATATGGTGAAACCCTGTCTCTACTAAAAATACAAAATATTAGCCAGGCGTGGTGGCGCACACCTGTAGTCCCAGCTACTTGGAAGGCTGAGGCAGGAGAATCGCTTGAACCCAGGAGATGGAGGTTGCAGCGAGCCAAGATTGCACCACTGCACTCCAGCCTGGGTGATGGAGCGAGACAATCTCAAAAAACAAAAAACACCTCATTGGGACTAGCAGAAGGTTAACTCTAGTATTGACAGGCAGCTTTTATCTTTCTCACCAGGGAGGGTTAGGACATTCTCATTGCCAATGGCCCTTTTGCTTATGGTAGGCACACTGATTCTGACCCAGGGGCCAGCAAGTCAAGAGCTCTTGTCTGGGCATGTCAGATGCCAATCTTAAAACACACTCTCAGGATGGGTAAGGCTGAGGGGCAAGGCACTGACAGCAACTGTTAGCAATTGTACATTTTGGCTATTTATCTTGCTTTTAATTCTACCTCTTGCCCTGTTCGTATTGTTGCAAACTTTAAAGGGCATGTTTAGGAGTTGGCTCATAGGGGTTTCAGGTCCCGTTTCTGCTTTCTGTAGCTTCCTCTTCATGTCGGAGGCAGGTTCAGGGATAAAATGTATACCCAGGAGACCTTGCCCTTCTGGGGAGTTGGGGCCTGCGTCAATACGTTTCCCGAGTACCTCAACCAAACTACCTTGAAACAGTGTGATTTTCATCCTTCCATGAGTTATTTCTCTAACCTTGTCATAACTGACTGGCTTAATCTCACACGTCTCCCTCTGCCTCTCCCTCATGTCACAGCAAGTGAGCAACAATGCTTGTAAGTCATGACAAGTGAAAGAGCATGGTAGACTTGATTCTTCCATAAAACCCCGGATTATCTGAAAACCGGCCACGTGCCTCCTTGCATGAAGCCAAGTCAGACATAGAAAATGGCACCTGCACTCCAAGTGCCCCCATTTCCGTCAGCTGCCTCTTGCCACAGACACAAGTTTGACTTGAAGGGCTGATATGGGGCCCTGCTTCTGGGGGTGCCCGTTGGACCTGCTTTCTTGGCAGTTGGGGGTATAGGCTGGGGCTAGTTGGATAAGGGGGGTGGGGGCCTGATGGCCCTGGGTGGAATCCTGCGCTGGCTGAACACCCCCTCAGAATTGGGGAACTGAGGAGGGTCCAAGGAGGGCACAGGCCTTCTAGGGGGAGCAGCTATGAGGGGTTCCCTTAGATGTGCCTTCCTGGTGCCTGGAAGTAACATGAGCCAGTAAAGGGCCATAAAAGCCTGTACATACGGGACCTCCTCCCACTTTTCTTCTTTTTTATGGAATAAGTCCAATTGTGAAATAGCATTATAATGTGTAGAACCATGTTTAGACCAGTTCTCTTGATTTTCTAATTTTTGTGTTGGACCCAAATGGTCTTGCAATAGAAAATGAATTTCTTTAAGCCGAATTTCATCTATTACATATTCTATACATCAAAGATGAAATTAACAACCCTTCGCTTACCATCAAAACTACAGGACACTGATGATACTGATGCTATGAATATGCAGATTATGAAGACTTAAATTTTGACTCTTCCATACTCAACAGATCTAAAGCCGGGAAAGCTATTGATTACTATAAGCTATGATGAAGTTGACAATTGAGTAGTCTTCCCTATAGAAATATCAATTCATATACTGATTTCGTCAGAAGACGTTTTACGTTCATGAGCCGTACCGTCACCGGGCCTGAAAACAGATGCAATTCCAGAACATCGAAACCAAGCAACCTTAATGTCTACACCACCAGGCTCTTACCACGACCAGTGCTCAGAAATCTGCAGGTCTAACCACAGCTTTATGCCAATTGTTCTTGGGCTAGAACTAGTACCCTGAAGAACATCAAACACTGGCCAGCATAAAAGACACTCCAGCTGCAAGTGTTCTGGGATGCTCATCATCATCCTTACGTCTAGCAAGGATTTCTACTGGGCACAGGCATTTTTCTAAGTCTAGCAAGAGCAGAAGCAGCTGGACCTTTGCTGTCATCCCCTTTCAGATTCCCATGTCCTGCAGAGAAGGAATAAGTCAAGGTAGCAAGTCATTAAAAAAGTGCTGGCAAACAAAATATGACAAAACAACTATTTTTACTAAGCAAAGCGTAGAAGGAAAAGTGTAGATAAAGTGACAATAAGAAAATGCTGTTTCAGAAAATAACTTTCGGTACGAAACCAGAAAAGGCAAGGCCAAGATTCCCCTAGGGTGGCCTCTAACGCCACAATCCTAGAGGGAATACCAGTGCCAAAAACTCTGGAGCGTCTGGGGGTGGCCTACAATCCCAAATGCCAAAAACCCAGAGCAGTCGAGTATCAGCCAACAAGGGTCCCCACACCAATGTCGAAAACCCCAGAGCATCTAGCTGGTGGCCCACAGTGAACCCCAAAGGCCAAGCTGGGGCCACAGAACAACATGACCCTGCTGTCCTAGGGTCAGCACAACAGGGGACCTCCCACAACCAAGTGTCCTTCCTTAAGTAACTGCCCAAGTAGAGTTAGCAGGGAGCCAAAGCAAAAATTGCAGATGAAACGTACATTTCAAAGCAGAAATTAAAATGGCCAACAGGCAATGAAATGGCATTAGAGGAGAAAGGATCGAGAGAAGGAATGACAAGGATGTGGCTGGTCAGGTGTGCTACGGGGACTTCAAACTGACCATCTAGCCAGAGGCCTAATTTCCTGGCTCATATTGGCAGGGGTGGGCAGAGGGGAGGACACTCACCCAACCACAGGGGCCAAAATGGTGCTGATCATTCTCCACCTTAATCCCTAGGTAAAGGTCTCCTCCCAGGGTTTCCCCAGCTTGGGCAGGCTCAGCTGCTGTGAGGAGACTGGCACATGGACCGGTGACCTGCCAGCCAGGGCAGGGGTCCCATGCGTGGTGGTGGCACTGTGGCCACTCCCCCAACCACTTGGCTCTGCTGCCTACCAGGAAAGATGACGGCTCTGAAGAGAGCCTTTGGCTGAGGTTACAGCTCCGCTGCACTAGCCGCTCTATGACTTTGATTTTCTTTGATCGCTGCAGAGCCAATCGCCATCTCTGATTGCTGCTTCTTCCCATCTCACCAGTCACTGTGTAGCCAGTCACCAGACGGCTGGTTGCCGTCTTGCTACCTCTCCACCGTCCAGCCTTCTTGTCAATTGCCACCTCACCACTTCTTTTGAGAGATGGCAGTTGTCCTACCCACTGTGGACCATCACCTCTCTGCTGTCTCACCACCCCTCCACCCACCACTGCCATCCCCACTGTTTCATCTTCATGGCTGCCAGGTGATGCAGGCCAAAACTGGGGCTTAGCCCAGGAGATTTCTTGGCTTTGCCCAGGAAAGAATTCAAGGGCAATCCGGCAGTGTTAGGCAGCAAACTTTTATTGACCAGCACTGTTCCTTGCAGAGTGGGGCTGACTCATAGGCAGTGTGCCCAGAGTCCACAGCATATGGGTTGTTGGCAACTGTATTTATACCCACTTCTACCCGCTTTCAATTACGTGCAACTTAAGGGACAGGTCAATGCAAATTAAGGGGCAGGTTATATAGAACTTTCTAGGAAAGGGGTGATAACTTCCAGGTCATTGCCATAAAAAGCAGTGGTAATTTCCGTAAACTGTCATGGCATTTGTAAACTGTCATGGCACTGGTAGGCATGTCTTAGGCTAGTGACCAACAAGGGCAGCCAGGTTTTGCCCTCTTACCATCTGCTGGTCTTTGCCAGCTTCTCCACTTCACCTCATCTGGACCGGGTCCGGCTTTGGTCAGCAAGGCTGTGACCAAGAAATAAGCCCCACCGCTCTCCCGCCTCCCTTGCACTTAGAACGCCACCTCTGGAAGATAACTGCCTATCAGCACAGAGATACCTTTTTTATTCTTCTTTACAGATGCATTTTGTGGGTGTGTCTCAGTTATTTATTAAACCTTCTGCTCTTTGATATTTGGGTGTTTCCAAACCTTTGCCACTACATGTGATGCCACAGTGAACAGCATGGAGCACTTGCTGCGTGTCTGGCCATCTCAGGGACAGATGTCACATTTGTTGCTGTAGCTGGGTAAGTGGGAGGCCCTCCAACAAAAGCCACCTCCCCTCCCAGGCAGCAGTGCCCCATGAGCCGCCCATCTCCTTGGGGATGCAGAGGCGCTGTTGGAAGTCTGCCTCTCGGACTATCTGATGGGTGGGAAATGGCGTGCAGAGGACCTGGGGTGTGGTGCACTTTTACTGTAAGTGAGGCTGAGTGTGTCTTCACAGGGGAGAGCCCATTGCCTTTCTTTTTCTGCCCATTGCCTTTCTTTTTCTGCCCATTTTTCCAACAGATAATTGGGTTTTTGCCTTGATTTTTAGGAGCTTGTTATAGTTTGCAGAGCTTGATCCTTTGTGCGATAAGTTGGAAGCATTTTCTCATGTGCTATGGCTTTCATTTCCCCATGTGCTACACCTTTGATTTTCTTCATGGGCTTTTGTTCATGCAAAAATGTGTATTTTTTGGTTTTTTGTTTTGTTTTGTTTTTTTTGTTTTTTGGTTTTTTTTTTTGAGACGGAGTTTCGCTCTTGTTGCCCAGGCTGGAGTGCAATGGCACCATCTTGGCTCACCACAACTTCTGCCTCTTGGGTTCAAACAATTCTCCTGCCTCAGCCTCCCGAGTAGCTGGGATTACAGGCATGCGCCACCACGCCCAGCTAATTTTTATATTTTTAGTAGAGACGGGGTTTCACCATGTTGGCCAGGCTGGTCTTGAACTCCCACCTCAGGTGATCCACCCTCCTTGGCCTCCCAAAGTGCTGGTATTAACAGGCGTGAGCCACTGTGCCCAGCCTGTATATTTCATTTTTAATGTTTTATTTTTTAGAGCAGTTTTAGGTTCACAGTAAAATTAAGACGAAGGTACAGAGATTTCCTATAGCCCCCCTCCCCAACTACAGCCTCCCCAAGATGAACTTCCCCACCAGAGGTGCATGTGTTACAGCTGATTCTCCTGCACTGACCCCTGTCGTCATCACCCAGCGCCTGAAGCCTACATTCAGGCTCAGTCTCGGTGCTGTACTCTCTAAGGGTTTGGACAAATATCTAACGGCACGTGTCTACAATTATAGCATCACATAGAGGAGTTTCACTGCCCTAAAAATCCTCTATGCTCCTCTTGTTCAACCTTCCCTCCCCCCAGCCTCTGACAACCACTGATCTATTTAACATCTCCATGGTTTTGCCGTTTCCCAAATGTCCTAGAGTTGGAACCCCACAGGGTGTAGCCTTTTCACATTGGCCACTTTCACTCAGTGATAAGTATTTAAGTTCTTTCCCTGCCTTTTCATAGTTTGGGAGCTCATTTCCTTTTAGTGCTGAGTCCACTGTCTGGATGTGCCACAGCTTGCTTACCCATTCACCTACTGAAGGGCATCTCGGTTGCTTCCAGGTTTTGAAACTTATGAATAAAACTGCTATAAACACCCATGTACAGGTTTTGTGCGGACAGAAGTTTTCAGTCCCTTTGGGTGTATACCGAGGAATATGATTACTGGACCGTACGGTGAGATCATGTCTAGTTTTGTGAGAAACTGCCAAACTGTCTTCCACAGCGGCGGCCCCATTTTGCATTCCCACCAGCGATGAACAAGAGTTCCTGCTGTTCCGCATCCTTGTCAGCATTTGATGTTGCCAGTCCCTGGGTTTTGGCCATGCTAGTAGGTGTGTGTGGTGTCTCAGTGTTGGTGTAATTTGCATTTCTCCGATGATGCGTGACGCTGAACATTCTCACACACGTATTGCCATGTGCAGAACTTCTTCGGTGAGATTTACGTTCCAGTATTTTGCTCACTTTTAAAATCTATTGTCCATTTGTTATTGTTGAGTTTTAAGAGTTTTTTGCATATTTTCAGTACTGTCCTCTATCAGATAAGTCTTTTGCAAGTATTTTCTCCCAGTCTGTGGCTTGTCTTCTCTTGACAGAGTCTCTTGCAGAGCAGAAGTTTCTCACATTAATGAAGTCCAACTTATCCATTATTTCTCTCATGGATCATGCCTTTTAGATCCAACAGGCATGTTGAATGTTGAATCTAAAACGTCATCTCATGCCCAAGGCCATCTGGGTTTTATTCTATGTTATCTTCTAGGAGCGTTATAGTTTTGTGTTTTACATTGAGGTCTGATCCATTTTGAGTTCGTTTTTGTGAAGGGTGGGAAGTCTGTGTCTGGATTTGCTTTCCTGCACATGGGTGTCCTGTTGTCCCAGCACCATTTGTTGAAAAGACTCTTTGTCCCATGGAATTGGCTTTGCTCCTCTGACTGCATCCACATGGGTCTGTTTCTGGGTTCTGCACTCTGCCCCCTTACCCGCCCCCTACCCACCCCCCGCTTATCCGCCCCACCTGCCCCCTTATCCGCCCCCTACCCGCCCCCTTATCCACCCCCTACCTGCCCCCTCCTCCATCTTTCATTCACCACCCTGCTTTGATTAGTGCAGCTTCATCAGGAGCCTAGGAGCCGGGCAGCATGAGTCCCGTGACTTTGTTCTTCAATTTTGTGTTGGTTGTGCTGGGTCTTTCCTCTCTCTATGTAAACTTCAGAATCATTTCTCAATAGCCACAAAATAACTTGCTAGGATTTTGATTGAGTATACACACACACACACACACACACGCGCGCACACACACACACACATATTTGAGATGCTCCTGGAGTGCAGTGATGCGATCTCGGCTTACTGCAACCTCCACCTCCCGGATTCATGCAATTCTCCTGCCTCAGCCTCGCTAGTAGCTGGGGTTACAGGCGTGTGCCACCAGGCCTGGCTAATTTTTGTATTTTTAGTAGAGATACGGTTTCAC
Organism: Homo sapiens; assembly: GCF_000001405.40. Lineage (NCBI taxonomy): Eukaryota > Metazoa > Chordata > Mammalia > Primates > Hominidae > Homo > Homo sapiens. The sequence goes on from NT_187547.1 coordinate 148,461, forward strand.
AATGTTGGCCAGGCTGGTCTCAATCTGCTGACCTCAGGTGATCCTCCTGCCCCGGCCTCCCAAAATGCTGGGATTATAGGTGTGAGCCACCGTGCCAGACCTGAGTATACATTATTTTAAGTGATAAATTTTGGCAATCTTGTATTTGTTCTTCTAAATTATAAGATATGGTTAGAAAGCCTTTTCCTCTCCTGTGACATCCTGCAGCTGTGTTTTCAGCCAGACCTTACTTCCTTCTCGCATGAAGATCTCTGGTCTTTGGGGATTATTCTGGTGTGGAAAATAAGCTAAAGGTTAAGTTGTATCTTTTAGTTTTCTTTTATTTTTTTTCGAGATAGTCTTGCTCTGTCACTCAGGCTGGAGTGCAGTGGCACGATCTCAGCTCACTGCAACCTCCGCTTCCCAGGTTCAAGCAATTCTCCTGCCTCAGCCTCCCAAGTAGCTAGGATTGCAGGCACCCGCCACCACACCCGGCTAATTTTTGTATTTTTAGTAGAAATGGGGTTTCACTGTGTTGGCCAGGATGGTCTCAAACTCCTGGCCTCGTGATCTGCCCACCTCAGCTCCCAAAGTGCTGGGATTACAGGCATGAGCCACCACGCCTGGCCACTTTTGTATTTTTAGTAGATGTATGGGTTTCGCCACATTGACCAGGCTGGTCTCGAATTCTTGACCTCGTGATCTGCCCTCCTCGGCCTCCCAAAGTGCTGGGATTACAGGTGTGAGCCACTGTGCCTGGCCAGTTGTATCATTTTCTATGTGGCTATCCAACTGTCCCAAAAACTTATTGTCAAAAGTCCGTCTTTTTCCACCTCATTGTATACCTAATCTCTACATATATTTGGTTCTATTTGTAGACTTTATCTTCTATTCCGTTGGTCTGCCTATCTAGAAAGCAAAATTTCAAATACTGAGACCGATAGATGAAGATGCTTTCGCTTCTTCCCTGTTTCATCCAGTTGGGGACTAAGTGTCCTTCGGTTTGGACTGTGCAGCTCGGGTCACCTTCTCTGTGGAACAGCAAGTGAAGAAAGAGGCGCAGAGCCCTGTGTTCCAAACCCTGGAGACAATTGAGAAAGTGGGAACCCATTATTCCCCAAGCCCAGCCAGCAAACCTCACCGATGAAACAGATAAGCACTTCCTGCAGGTGGGGCCGACACTGGCCAGGACACAGCCCTCTCTCTCACAGCAGTGTTCCAGGTTGTTTGTGCACAAAATTTCACAAAGGTCAGAGCTCGTCTCTCCAAACCGATGAGCTTTGCGGTTAACCTGAATTCACTGAACTGGGATTTATTATTATTATTCTATTTTACCTCTAACAGAAGTTTAAGGTTCGTGTAAGTTTCGTTCCTCTCTGATTGTAGGGGAGACGCCCAGAGCGCCATTTGGAGGAGAGAACCTGGCATCCTTTCCTTACCTTGATTTCAGGTACCCAGCTCCTAGCAAATGTGTCTTCCTCCCAGGGTTCTTTGGGGTAAAGAATTTGGTGAGAAGGAGCTGAATGTTATGGCTGCGTTTCTCAGCCACTTGCTCGGAGCCAAGCATCCTCTCACCCTTTCTTTCAACTGGTAGCCAGAAAATACGGGTTGAGCATCAGGGATTCTCAACCGTGTCAAGCTCCAGCCCTGCCTGTTGTGACAGACGTTTCCTGATGCCTGTTGCTCTCTGGAATGAAGGTCATGGGCAGTATTACCCACACAGCCATTCAAAATCAGTCGGCTTCGTGACCTGTTGTGAAAGGATGGCGATTGCCGTGCCAGCACGTGACATGGACTCGGATGCCTGCGCACACAGGTGCACCTTCCAGAAGGTGAGGTCAGCCCGAGCGCCCACCGCCATGTGAGTGCGCTGCTGCAGTGACCAGTTGCTGGAATGTTCTGAACAGAGCCCAGTGCCACCCACTTTGATGTGCGCTATTGTTAGATCTCCGGAAAAATCAGAGTGCATTAAATTCCTGCAAAAATTCTGTGTGTCTGTCTCTACGTAAATGAGCTAGGGCTTTGCTCAGCCTCCTCCCTGCATCTGGCAAGAGGAGAAGCAACTTTTAATTCATGTACTTGAGGGCAGCCAGCACCCAGCACCACACCACAGCAGCCCCTGGGGAGGGCAGCACCCAACACAGCACAACCCTAATTCGTGTACTTCAGGGTAGGCAGCACCCAACACACCACAGCCCTTCCCAGCCAGCGGGACAACCACCGAGAGCCCCGAGAACTCCCACAGCAGCCCCAGGGAGGGCAGTGCAGGGCCGTGCATGCAGGGAGGAGGGAAGAACCAGGAGCAGCCCAGGCTGCCTGGACCCCAGCAGATGAGTCCACTGGTCCACAGAGCGCTCACTGCATGGCCCAAACTGCTGCTTTTTTTTTCTTTTGAGACAGAGTCTTGCTCTGTCGCCCAGGCTGGAGTGCAGTGGCGTGATCTCGGCTCACTTGCAACCTCCACCTCCACAGTTCCAGTGACTCTCCTGCCTCAGCCTTCCGAGTAGCTGGGACTACAGGCACCCGCCACCATGCCTGGCTAATTTTTGTATTTTTAGTAGAGACAGGGTTTCCCCCGTGTTGACCAGGCTGGTCTCAAACTCCTGACTTCAGGTGATTCGCCCTCCTCAGCCTCCCGAAGTGCTGGGATTACAGGTGTGAGCCACTGCGCCTGGCCAAACTGCTTCTTTTACTTTCATTTCCCTATGGAGAGCCAACGCCAGTCACTTTCCGTGGAAACCTGATTTTGGCTCTTGTTGCTGAACTAGAAAGAGGATGGCCGTGTGGACTCCTCCGGAGCTTTCTCAGCCTCGCTCACATTACCCTCCTCACCATAAGGACTAGAATTATTGCAAAAGCTGGAGCCACGCACTTAAGAATAGGGAATGAAAACTCGCTTTTTTTGTGGATAAAGGAAAGCTGTTCCTCGATTCACGACACGGCTGACAACAAGCGTGTGGGTTTTGCACACCAGCCAATTCTCCGGGTCTCTGCAGACACCACCCGAGTGTCCTGCAATTTAATTCAGCTCCAACACTGCCCGGCGCTAGCGCAGATCCGGAAGGTTGAAAGCTTTGCCCGTGAGGCTGCCCCCACTCAGCCAGTCACAAGCATCGTGTCCCCAGGCCACCCACATGTCTGTCCAACGTGGCTGCAAATGGGCCCACCATCCCCTCCTTAAATTCAGTAATTTGCTGGGATGGCTCGTGGAAGTCAGGGAAACACTTTGCTTACCGTTACTGCTTTCTTGGAGAAGATATTGTGAAGAATACGCAGGAACATCCAGATGTGGAGGTGCCTGGGGCGAGGGCTGGTGGGGTCCCGGGCACAGGACATTCCATTGTCCCCATGGACTTGGGGTGTGCCCCCTCCCACACGCGGACGTGTTCACCAACTCTGAAGCTCTCCAAATCCCATGGGCGAGGGTTTCTGATGGAGGTGTCATGTGGACACAATTGGTGACATCACTGGTGATTTTTCGTTGGCCTCCATCTCCAACCCCTGGCCCCAGAGATTGAGAAATGGGGCTGAAAGTTTCAGCCTTCAATCACACGGCTGGTTCCCCTAGCAACCAGCACCACCCTCAAGCTATCTAGGGGCCTACCAAGAGTCCCCTCATAGCATAAGCTCAGGAGAGGTTGAAAGGGGCTTGTTATGAATTCTCACCTCCTACCATGCAGGACATTCCAAGAAGCACTGTGTCAGGAACTGGGGACAAAATAGAATAAATATATATATATTTTTTGAGACGGGGTGTTGCTCTGTTGCACAGGCTGGAGTGCAATGGTGCGATCTCAGCTCACTACAACTTCTGCCGCCCAGGTTCAAGCAATTCTCCTGCTTCAGCTTTCGGAGTAGTTGGGATTACAGGCGCGTGCCACCATGCTCAGCTGATTTTATTATTTTTTAGTAGAGACGGGGTATCACCATGTTGGCCAGGCTGGTCTCAAACTCCTGGCCTCAAGTGATCCACCCATCTCGGCCTCCCAAAGTGCTGGGATTACAGGCGTGAGCCACTAGGCTAATCCTGAATGTACATTTTCTACTGTCACAGCAGATATTCCCAGCATCCCCCTCCAACTTCCCACCCCTGAACCCAGCCCCACCATGAGTCCCAGCCTGCAGAAGACCCCACACCAGCCTCAGTCCCAACCCAAGACAGCCTCCAGCCCCTGAGTGTCCCCTCCAGTGTGCCCCCTGGAACCCGCAGACCTGCCCTCCACCCCAGCCCTGTGTCCTCTCCAGCTTTCTCTTCTCTGACAGGGCGACCCACCAGCAGCCACACCCCGAGGCTTTTTTCTTAAAAAACCCCACCCCCCAATGAGCCCACTGCACATCTCATTGATGCTGACAGCTACCTGCATCGTCCACGCCACAGCCCACTCCTCCTGTGGCTTAGCACCTGCATTGGACACCATTAACCACACCCTCCTCCTGCCCTCTGCCCTCAAAACCCCTAGGGCTCCCCAGCTTCTGGTCCCCCAATCCCTGCGTGTGGATGTCTGGGACACTCAGTAGCCTGGGTGCCCCTGGGACCTTGGAGAGTGCAAAGGTAGCTGGGGCTGTGCTCCACCCGGCCAGAAGAGTCAGGGTGTCCCCAGGACCATGAGGGGCCCCTGCAGGGACCCCTTGGCCACCATCTCACCCCATCTGTCCAAAGCTGGTACCTTTGGAAAACTCACACCCCTCATGCTCTGAAGCAGGAGCTGGGTGTTCACTGGAGGGACCCCGCCGGGAATCCTTTGAGTGACCAGGGCCTGAGAAAGGAGGAGCCTCAGGCTGTGATCACCCCGAGAGCCACTGTCAGGGCCCGTGTGGACCAGCAGCCACATGAGGGTGAGACCCCAGAAGAAGGGTCCCTCCATCTGGCCCACTCAGGGCACTGTGCAAAGTGAAAATGTGGAGTGCCTCATTAAAAAGCAGGGGAAAGTGCTGTGCAAGGTAGTAAAATATACAACTTCTTCTTTTTTATCAGAGTCTTGCTCTGTCGCCCAGGCTGGACTGCAATGTCACCATCTCAGCTCACCGCAACTTCTCCCTCCTGGGTTCAAGCGATTCTCCTGCCTCAGCCTCCCAGGTAGCTGGGACTACAGGCATGAGCCACCAAGCCCAGCTAATTTTAGTATTTTTAGTAGAAACGGGGTTTCGCCATGTTGGCCAGGCTGGTCTTGAACTCCTGACCTCAGGTGATCTGCCCGCCTTGGCCTCTCAAAGTGCTGGGATTACAGGCATGAGCCACCGTGCCCGGCCTAGCTTTTTCTTTTTCCACAGTTTCTCAACTTATTTTTTAGTTGCTATTTTATGTCATTCTAAGTAAAGAAATTCTGAAAATTAGAATCATTAGCATGGATCTGCCATTCATATATTGTCTAGTTTTATTTTTTTTACTTTAAATTTTATAAGAAATGAGTTTTAAGAAATGATGAATATAAGATAAATCAAAACCACAGTGAGTTATTAAACCCATTTTCTGTATTCAAACACTAAAATTCCGAAGGTGGAATATCATCCAGTGTGAGACATCATAGCCCGGCCCGTATGTACGCAGCACACAGAGCTGTGCCCGCGCTCATCTGTGAATTGCTCATTTACATGTCACTGATACAAAACCTGCAAGGGAACTTCTCAGTTCTCCTCTTCCCAATACATCGTCACCTATTTTTAAGGAACTTCAGGGATATGAAGAAAATACATTGAAGTGGGCTTCTGCTAAGGGCTCTCCGTGTTTTGCTCTGACGGATTACACACTACATCTTGAGAAAAACTTGCAGCTCATTTCCAGCTAAGACGGCAGAAAACTCTAGATTTTTGCCAATGTGACATTGTCCGGTTTTAAATGCAAAAAAGAAAGCATGGAACTCATCCGGAAGGTGAAATCTCAGTTTCTGTTTCACAGTTCGCACATGCACCTGTCCTCAGGGACCCCCAGAAAGGAGGAGAGGTCCCACAAAACCAGCACAGTGGCTGCTTTTATGCCACCTCCCAGTCACCACGTTCCATCAGCACCGCACCTTCCACAGGACCGCCTGAGGAGGAAGGACGGGGGCCCGGTCGCTGGCGTTTCCTCCCACTGGAAGCTGCTCGGCTTGAAGGGAAGGCGAGGCTGGGGCTGCAGCTCCTCACCCCGTCCTGGCTGCGACCAGCCCTGTGGTCGCCGTGAGCCTTGCTTATGTGCTCTGTTCAGGTTCTGAGCGGCGATGGGCTCGGAGGGCGCCCGTGGCTTGCTCTTGCAGGGGCTCCATGCCCATCCTATCTTGCTTGAAAAACATAAGCTTAGTGATAAAATTGGTAAGAATTTCAAGACGGCGACCCTGGAGCCGTGAACCCGAAGTGACCCTTACCCTCCCCAGGCACAGCGGGGCACCCGGGGGCAGGCAGGGTGGTCCTGGAGGCCATTCTGGGAGGGGCCAGTGCCTCGGCCTTGATGCCCATGCTATCCCCTCTCCACGCGTCCTCACCTATCCCCGAGAGCTGAGCGACCGCCAGGAGCCAGCCTGCACCCCTGCCACAAGGCCTGGCCCTGCTCCTGGCACTGCGGGCTGGAGTTGCCCATGGGGCTGCTCAGTGCACAGCTCCTGCACCACGCGGGCATGGGTCCTCGTCCCCATGGGAGGGCGGTGCTGATGCCCAGTTCATGCCCCGGCCTGTGCAGATGCAGGGCACAGCCCAGCTCCTGCATGGGGTGCTGGGTCCCCTACGTGTGACCCCGTGGTTGGGGGCTTGCAGCCCTTCCTGCCACCTGCTGGCCTCTCCACGGCCACGTGCTTCCTTCCCACTCCCTGGGTGGCACAGGTGTGGCGTGGCCTGTGTCCTCCAATGTCAGGGGGCACATGCACAGCCCCCAAGGGTGGCTCCCAGCCTTGCTCTCCCACCCTCTTCCCCCTCAGGTGGGGCTGGGAGTCTCAGGACAACAACATCTCCTCCCCATGGCCCTCCTCGTCGGCACCACCGGGCCCTTGCACACACTTGCCAGGGTGGGCCGAGCAGGCAGTTCAGTGGGTGGTCCTGAGCCCTGGCCCCAGCCCAGGCATCTGGCAAAACCCTTCCTGGCCTCGGCTCCTCATCTGTGCAGTGGGCATGACCATCGCTCCACCTCGGGCAGTCGTGGGCATGGAACTGAGTTAATCCACCAGCGGGGCTCAGGATGGCACCCACTTAGGTCCATTGGTTTCTTTTACATCATCTGACGCCGTCTCTTGTCAAGCGCTTGGGCCACATCTCTGTGACATGGGGCTTCCTGCCACTGGCATGCACCTAGGAGCACTTCAGGCCCTGTCTGCACCCGCACCCCATGTCCCAGGAGCCCAGGGTCCCCCAGTAGCCTGGTCCGCTTGGCCCACAGGGGAGCTGCCTTGCTCTGGGAGGGCTCTGTGTCCCGCTTTGTAATCGTACATCACAGCTGTCACCATTGCAGTGGTCAAGGGGGCAGTGACAGCAACAGTCAGGCCAGGGGCTGAACTCCGGGCACCCGTCGGCACAGAGCGAGGGGAAGCTGGATGAAGCAGCGGGCGCGGCCGTGGGGAACCGACTTCTTCTGCCAGGAAAAGGGCTATTTCCATAAGCTGCTGGCTGTCAAAAGGCATTTAGCTCCCCCTGTGTTCCAGAGAACATAATCTATTATTTGTTCAAAAGTAGGTTTCCTGAGGTAACTACAAAACCCCCAATATTGATGCTAAGTCACATGGAGAGCTGTGGGAGGCTGGCCTGGCTTTTTGTAAGATAATAGCAGGGCTTGTGTGCTCTCTGCTGAAACCTGCCATCCCATCCATTTCCTCCTGGGAAACTGGGCCATCGATGAGGGTGACAGCCCTGCCAGCCAGCGACATCCTCCTATGCTCAGTGCCCAGGCAGCACGGTCAAAGGATGAAAATATGAGTGCTGGAGAGCCCTCTCCTCCCCGCAGTGCCTGCCACCCATCCCTTCCTCCTTCAGACACTGGCCCCCAGTAAGGACAAGAGCAGCACGATGCCCCTCCCTACAGCCATGCCCAGGTGGGGACCCCGTGGGCGGAGTCCAAGTCCTCCCTCTTCCCGCCTCCCTCCGATCACTTCCGGCCCTCATTACCCCCTTGACCCTCATTCCCATGAAGCTCACAAGGGCAGAGCCTGTGCTGACCCTTGGGGAAGACTCGAAGTGAGATTGGAGGGCTGTGGAGGACAATGGGCTGTGATGGGTGGGACTGTGCCTGCCTCCAAGTTTAAATGTTCAAGTCCTGACCCCCAGGACCTCAGAATGTGACGGTATTTGGAGATGGGGTCTTTACAGAAAGGATTTCAGTTAAATGAGATCAAGAGGGTGGGCCCGTTGTGACTGGTGTCCTTGTAAGAACAGGAGATCAGGAGGCGGACACGCAGAGAGGGGCGACCCGGTGAGGACTCAGGGAGAAGACGGTGTCTGGAAGCCAAGGAGAGGCCTCAGGAGGAAGTAGCCCTGCCACACCTGGATCTGGGACCGCCAGCCTCATGGACTGTACTTTGAGCAATAAATGTCCTGTCTAAGCCCCAGCCTGCGGTCGTCAGAGGCGCTGGAACCAGAGCGACTCCACCTCGAGTGAGGGCTGGAAAACGAGGCTAGGACTTGCTAGGCTCCACTCCCAGAGAGTCGGGCATTCCCAGCCTCTAGACGTTTAGAGATAAAGGAACAAATAAATAATGTTTACTAAACAGACCCAGACTTGGGAGTCCAGATACCCCGATATCCAGAGAACAAAGGCATTCCTAATTTTGCCTTAAAGATAAATGATATTGATTCTTGCAAAATATACTAATTAAGAAAATTAATTCTTTATCATCAACGCTCGTAGCAGAGCACATCTCCCCGTATACACCAGGATTGTACCCCAGGTGGGCGCCTTTCTCCTCTTAGTTTCGGGAATGCCCTGCTCTGTCTGTGGAGCAGCCGTCCTTTCGCCACTTTACTCTCTTAATAAACTCACTTCCACATGGGACTGCGGACTCCCCCTGAATTCTATCTTGTGCGAGATCCAAGAACCCTCTCTTGGGTTCTGGATCAGGACCGCTTTGCTGTAACACGGTGCTGCTCCGTGGCCACGTGAGCCGACGGATGCAGAGACCGACGGCGGGCTCTTCGTTACCCTGGCCCGCCCAGGCTCCCACGGCCCCCAGCCCTTCTGTTCTCGTGCTCTGATGGTGGCGCCGTGTGGCCTGCCCTGCGCGCTAGGCACTGCTCAGCTGCTCTGTGGGTGGGTCGTGGGCACTTGCTGACACTCTACAGGGAGGGGCCTTCCTGGAGTCATGAGACAGGACACTGAGAGCAGCCGCCTTGTCTGGAGACTGAGTCCCGTGTCAGGGACAAGCAGTGACTGCCTCCCTGACCTCTGCTTCCTCCACGCTGGCAACAAAGGCGGGAAGCAGGAGGCCGGCCTGACACCAAGAAGCAGATGGCAGGGGCCATGTTTCATCCCAATGCCCAGGAGCTGTTCCTGCGAATTCTGCTTGTACGTAGGTGATGCCCAAACTGCATTGTCCACACTTCCCCAAGCCTACAAATTCACTTCGTAGGATTTTATTTTTACTGAATGAATCCTACAGGGCTTGTCTCCCAAGTGCTGAGATGAACAGATGGTGGTTGCTGTCATCCCTGGAGCTCACACATCCCCCAAGGGCACCACAGCTCCTGCTGTAAATAAGCCCGTTGTTTTCTTTTTTCTTTTTTTTTTTGAGATGGAGTCTCTCTCTCTCTTGCCCAGGCTGGAGTGCAGTGGCACGATCTCGGCTCACTGCAACTTCCACATTCCAGGTTCAGGCAATTCTCCTGCCTCAGTCTCCTGAGTAGCTGGGATTACAGGCGCCTACCATCACGCCCGGCTAATTTTTTGTATTTTTAGTAGAGACGGGGTTTCACCATGCTGGCCAGGCTGGTCTTGAACTCCTGACCTCAGGTGTTACACCCGCCTTGGCCTCCTAAAGTGCTGGGATTACAGGTATGAGCCACCACACCAAGCCAAGCCTGTTAGTTTTCATGATCCGAGAATTAGAAATGAAAACACTGAGTTACAACATCTCTCCTAACAGGTTGGCAAAACTCCACAAGGTCACCAGCACACCTTGATGGGGAGGCTGCAGGGAAACACACAACCTCATGCTTTGCTGCTGGGATGCAAACAGCACAGCCCCTGCGGGAAGAAGCTCAGAGATGCCCGGAAAGACCTGTGTGCATTCACAACTGCATCCTTCAATTCCACTTCTAAGCAGCTACCTTAAAGTCACAAAATATCAGAAAATGGATGTTCAAGGTCATTCAACGTAACCCTGCTTTTAATACCTACAGACTTTTTTTTTAACCAAAGGATATATCCTGGCAAAATATATTATGTATATATATAACTAAATGGAACCTCTGAGATGAAAAATACCTTTGAAATGAAAAATTCATAATATGAGCTTAGCAGCAGTTTGAAAACTGCAGAAAAATACCAGTGAACTTGAATACAAGCATTAGAAAGTATTCAAACCTAAGCACGGAGACGGGAGAAAAGTTTCAACATAAACAGAACCTCACTGACATTGAAACAGCATCAAGCAGCTCATATACATATAACTGGAGTCCCAAAAGGAAGAGGCAGGCAGAGAAATATTTGAAGAAACCTTCACTGCAACATTTTCAGACTTGAATCTCACAGATTGATAAGCTCAGTAAGCCCCAAGCAGGACAGACAAGGCAAAAGCGCCAGACAAATACACACAAAACACAAAGAAACACAGAAGAACAGCTGCCAATCTGTCATCAGAAGCAATGCAAGTCAGAAGACAGTGGACTGAACGATGTGATTTAACATGACAGAAGAAAAAGTGCCCATCAACCTAGAGAATTAGTGAAAATATCTTTCAAAAAACGAGGGCAAATTAAGGATATTTCCATACAAATGACAATTGGTAGAATCCATTTTCAGTAGATCTGCATAACACAAAATGCTAAAGGAAGTTATTGAGGCTAAAGGGTATATATCAGCTGTATTTCACGTGACAGTGAAATGTATGACAATAAAGAAAGGAATAGAACAGAAATGGAACGTTACTGTTTAAAGTCATTAAAATCCACATGAAGGGTTATAATATCTGGAAGTAGACTAGCTTAAGTTTAAGCTGCAAATTGACAATTGTAGAAAAAAACACTGAACAAGTAAAGCAAAAAGATCTAGCTGAAAAGCCAATAAGAAGACATATTTGAATCCAAAAAAGATAAATTTATAATTCTAAAAGCAGGAAGAAAAAAGAGGAAAAAGAACAAAGAATGAATAGGACAAATAAGAAAACATTGATAATTAAATTTAAATGATGTAACACTCTAATTAAATGGCAGAGATTGTTGATTGAAATACAGAACTAACTCTAAGCCGCCTACAAGAAACCCGTTTTAAATATAAATACACAGATAGGTTAAGGCCAAGCATGGTGGCTCATGCCTGTAATCTCAGCACTTTGGGAGGCTGAGGTGGGAGGATTGCTTGAGTCCAGGAGTTCAAGACCAGCCTGGGAAACAGGGTGGAACTCCATCTCTATAAGAAATACAAATATTGCCTGGGTGTGGTGGTGAACCCCTGTGGTCCCAGCTACTTGGGAGGCTGAGGTGGGAGGATTGCTTGAGCCTGGGAGGGTGACGCTGCAGTGAGCCAAGATGGCACCACTGCACTCCAGTCCAGCCTGGGTGATAGAGCAAAACCCTGTCTCAAAATTTTACTTAAAAAAAAGAAAATAGGCTGGGCGTGGTGGCTCACACCTATAATCCCAGCACTTTGGGAGGCCAAGGCAGGTGGATCACCTGAGGTCAGGAGTTCGAGACCACCCTGGCCAACATGGTGAAAACCTGACTTTACTAAAACTACAAAATTAGCTGGGCATGGTGGCAGGTGCCTATAATCCCAGCTACTCGGGAGGCTGAGGCAGGAGAATCACTTGAACCTAAGAGGCACAGGTTGCAGTGAGAGTTAGATAGTGCCATTGCACTCCAGCCTGGGTGACAAGAGCAAAACTCCATCTCAAAAAAAAATGTGTAGATAGACAGATAGATACATATGTATATTTAAAACACAGGTAGGTTAAAAGTTAAAGGAGAGAAAAGGGCATGCCAGGGAAGCGCTGTCAAAAGAAAGCTGAAGTAGTTATGTTGACACGACACAAAGCAGATGTCAGAACAAAGAACATCACCAGGGATAAACAAAGACAACAGGGTCAAGACATCAAGAGGACACAATGACCCCAAATGAGTATGCTCCTACTAACAGAAATTCAAAACACATACAGCAAAATTCAAAAACTCTTATCACTGAAACATGATTACGTTGGGTGTAGTAAAAATGTTCAACTTTTCTCTTTGAAAGTCACCAGAAGGAGAGTGGTGTTGGCAACAGGGCTGACTAGAACTGTCTGGCGCTCATCCCCTCCTCCCCACAAAGAAGGATCAAGGCAACAAGTTGACAGTGACAATTTGACTGGAGCGTCGAAGGCAGAGTGCTGGACTGCAGCAGAGGCCGGAGACACCCCTGTGGTGCTCGGAAGCCCAGGTGGCGTCTGCTGCCCAGTCTTCCTCACCCACCAGTTTGACCTAGAAGCAAAGAGGGACTTCCAGTGGCAAGGAAAAGGTAAGCAGATCTCCACCAGCTGCCACTGCTACAGCAAATGCTGGCAGTCCTTGCTGCAGGAGAACCCACAGTCCTTGCAAGCCCTGAGCCCAGTTGGGAGCACTGCAGGGAATTCTCACAGCAGTGTTCCCCCGATTAGGAGCAAAAGGTGTGCACCTCCCACCCCACACCCATGCCATGAGCCAAGCTGCTATTGCATCTGGAGGGGCTCTGCCCTGGGGCCAGTAGCACCTGCACCTCTCCAGCACTGGGGCTCCACTTTCATGCCACCAAGCCCACATGGGCAGCTGAACACCACAACCCCAGCTGCATAGAGCTTGGGCCCAGGCTTAGCTGTGACTCTGGTCCTGCACAGCAGGGAAACCCATCCCCACCGCAGCTCTTCCAGCTGTCTGCTCCTCCCACCTGCAGCAAACCCACCCTTGAGCCAAACAGCTGCAGGTCTCCCCACATAGGCCCCACCAGCCTCCAAGCAACTGACAGCAGGAGCTCAGGGCCTGAAAATCAGCCCCACGGCACCCCCACCTGCAGGTACGCCCCTGGCCTGCCCAATGGCTCTGTGCCTCCAATAAGGGCCTAAGAAAAAGTCCCACAGGCTGCCCCTGGCAATATACAAAAATCAGTAGCATTTCTATACACAAACAAAAACCTAGCTGAAAAAGAGATCAAGAAGGCAATCCTATTTCCAATAGCAACAAATAATATAAAATACCTAGGGATAAATTTAACAAAAGAGGTGAAAGACCTCTACAAGGAAAACTACAAAAAACTGACGCAAGAAACTGAAGAGGATATGAACAAATGAGAAGACATCTCATGCTCAAGGATTGGAAGAACTAATATTGTTAAAACGACTGTGCTACCCAAGGTAATCTACACATTTAAGGCAATGCCTATCAAAATACCAATGGCATTCTTTTTAGAAAAAGAAATAATATTAAAATTTGTATGGAACCACAAAAGACCCCAAACAGCCAAAGCCATCCTGAACAAAAAGAACAAAGCTGGAGGCATCACACTCCCAGACTCAAAATACACTACAAAGCTACAGTAACCAAAACAGCATGGAACTGGCATAAAAACAGACACACAGACCAATGGAACAGAACAGAGGGCCCAGAAATTAATCCGCTTTCTACAGCCGACTGATTTCCAACAAAGGTGCTAAGCACACTCACTGTGGAAAGGACAGATTCTTCAATAAATGGTGCTGGGCAGTGGCTTACACCTATTACAGCTACTTGAGAGGTGGGAGGATTGCTTGTGCCCAGGAGTTCAAGACCAGCCTGGGCAACACAGCAAGACCCCGTCTCTACAAAAAGTTTAAAAATTAGCCAAGTGTAGTGGTGTGTGCCTGTAGTTTCAGTTACTTGGGAGGCTGAGGTGGGAGGATTGCCCGAGCTCAGGAGTTTGAGGCTGCAGTGAGCTATGAGCCACTGCCCTCCAGCCTGGATGACGGTGCGAGACCCTGTCTCTAAAAAAAAATTTCTACTCTAGTGCTTACAGCAGACCAATTCATAGTGACTGAAAATGGGGACATCCTACCGCCTATCGACTGCCCATCAGCATCTGGGTGGCTAGCCCAGCTGTGGTGCATTCACACCAAGGAATGCCACTTGGCAATTAAAAGGAACTACTGTTATGTGGAACAATGATGAGTTTCACAAACACTGTGCCAAGTAAAAGAAGCCAGATACAAAAGACTGAGTGATTCCATCCATGTAAATTTCTAGAACAGATGCATCCACAATGACAGAAAACAGTCTGGCTGCAAAGGGGCAAGAAGGAAGTTTTGGTTTTTGTTTGGAGTCAGGGTCTGACTGTCACCCAGGCTGGAGTGCAGTGGTGAGATTGTGGCTTACTGCAGCCTCCACCTCCCAGGCTCAAGCAATCCTCTTACCTCAGCCTCCCAAGTAGCTGGGATCACAGGCATGTACCACCATGCCCAGCTAATTTCTTCTATTTTTGTAGAGATGGGGCATCACTATGTTGCCCAGGCTGGTCTTGAACTCCTGGGCTCAAGTAATCCTCTCGCCTTGACCTCCCAAAGTGCTGGGATTACAGGCATGAGCTACAGCACCTGGCTGTTTTTAAGTAATGGAAATGTTCTATATCTCCGTTGTAACAGGATTTGCATGGGTGAAGACATTTGTCAAAACTCATAGAATTGCACACTTAGAATGGGTTTTCTTTATATAAATTATTCATCAGAAAATTAAAAGGGAAAAAAGGCTAGGGGTAACAACAAAAATACCCTTTTAGATGAATATAAAATAATCCTTAGAGAACCATCGTCTCCTTATCCTTGGCAAGCATCCCCTCAGGGAGAGCTGCTGTTCTCTTTCCACCCCTCTGATGTCAGCCCCAGTTCCTGGGAGCCCAGATCCACAGCGTTGTCAGCCTAAGAGAGAGGTTCTCTAGAAGAATAGATGTTAGCTTGAGAACAGAACATTACAAGGAGAGTACACACGCCATAGTAAACCATATGCCTATTCAGGGAGGTCAAGGAAGACAAAGGTCTTTAAAGGAAAAGCGAGCAGGATCACAGTGGTTTTGAGATAATTCTCCTTGGCTACAAACATCAATAACAAAGGTCATTCCAGTCTGAGGTTGGACAGGCAATTGCTGGGCAGTTGTCCTTGCAGAAATATTTTTTGTGTAAGGGTGTGATGGCCTCTGTGCCGGGCTGTGGTTTTTGTAGTCCTTTCTGGTATCAGGCATGCAAGCATAAGTGTCCTCTCTTCGTGGCCTTCCCCACCAACTCTTTGTCAGGGCTTTCTTAACATTAGTGACTCCATTTTGATTCTGACAACTTTCACAGCATGTATTTAGAGCAGCCGCTAGGTGTTCATCCACAGAGGTGGCCGTGAGCAGTTCCTGGGATCATAACAAGAGTCCATTCTGCTTGGGGCTTACCACAAATGAAGTAAAGACAGGCCCTTGGGGAAAGGTTGGGCAGACTGAGCCCCACATGAGCGGGGCAGGAGATGGGCCCGCGCCCCAACAGAAATGTCAGGTGATCATCAGGTGATGGTCAAGCTGTTGTTAAACTGTCTAAAATAATTATTGGTTGCAGCTGGTGCCAGAGAAAGGCAGGCTCCCAATAGATAGAAAACACCTAAAGCTGATGATGAGCCACTTCCCGATAAGATCCCAGGAGTTGGCACAGGTGGGAATTGAACAATGAGAACACTTGGACACAGTGCGGGCAACATCACACACCAGGGCCTGTCGTGGGGTGGGAAGGATAGCATTAGGAGAAATACCTAATGTAAATGACGAGTTAATGGATGCAGCAAACCAACATGGCACATGCATACCTATGTAACAAACCTGCACGTTGTGTACATGTACCCTAGAACTTAAATTAAAAAATTTAAAAAAAATCTCAGGAGTTGGTGAGTGAGGTCAAGCATGCACACTACGAGGCAAAGTGGCAAAGTTTAACCAGCGTGTGACCTTCCCCTAGGAACTGGTAAGGGAAGACTGCCTCAAGAGGGCACCGCACAACTCCAGTAAGCACACTGTGCACGCGGCCCTCCCAAGTGTCGGCAGGCCACTGCGCATGCGGACAGCCCACCCCAAGGGAAGAATCAGGGGAGAAGGGACGCAGCCCCCAGAAGCATGCCAAGATATAAACCCCAAGTCAAAGGTCAAAACCGTGTACTTGCTCTCTCAAGATGCCCACCTGGCCCTCCTCCAAGTGTACTTTATTTCCTTTCGTTCCTGCTCTAACACTTTTTTAATAAACTTTCACTCTTGCTCTGAAACTTACCTCAGTCTCTGACCCTGCCTTGTGCCCCCTGGATGAATTATTTCCTCTGAGGAGGCAAAAGCTAAGTTGCTGCAGACTTATATGGATTTGCTGCTGCTGACACCAGGAGGTGGCGTTCTGGGCTCCCTGTGGCCCTGGAGAGTAGCAGCCTCCCCTCTTTCTCCAGGAGCCCACCCCCCCCACTAGGAAAGGGCAGCAGGCACTCAGCTCGTTACAGCCCATGCCATCGATACCTGTGTGTGCATGAGCCCCAGTCTCACCCAGGGCCCTAGGAATGAGCCACGGCCTCCCTCTGGCACGAACGGTTAGCCTTTGGGAAACCCTCAACAGATGCCCACATTCAACTGGCAAGATTCTCAAACACCGGCCCACAAGCCAGCACCTGGAGGGCTGCTCATGCACATGGTGGCACTTATCAATAACTTTTCAGTGATGGAAAAATCTTATCAATAACTTTTCGATGATGGAAAGATGTTCTTGGGTGGGCTAGGAAGTCCTGTAAGAGCTGTGTCCTTGCAAGAGGAGAGCCAGCAGCCAGGCACGGTGTGACACCTTGGGCCTAGATGTCCCTGCCCCTGACCTGCTAGAAAGCTGACTGGTCTGCCACAGAACGCTTCTGCTTTGCCTCCAGGAAAAGGCCTTGTTATCTGCGAACTCCCAGAGGCACCCATCGCAGGATACCCAGCTTTGCCTGAGGGCTCTTGTCCCTGCTTTCCTATAAATATCTGCACCTGGGACAGAATTTAATCCAGATCAAAACTCAGTCTGAGACTTGCTTTCCTAGAACTACAACCCCAGGGGCAGGTAGCGTGGGCAGAGACAGAGTCCCACCTCGCCCTGCCGACACAACATCTGTTGAATGAGACCAAATGTGGGTTTGTGGCCCTTCATCCATAAATCCTGCAGATGTGCCAGGCCCGGTGGCTCACGCCTGTAATCCCAGCACTTTGGGAGGCCGAGGCGGGCGGATCACAAGGTCAGGAGATCGAGACCATCCTGGCTAACACGGTGAAACCCCGTCTCTACTAAAAATACAAAAAATTAGCTGGGCGTCGTGGCGGGCGCCTGTGGTCCCAGTTACTCTGGAGGCTGAGGCACGAGAATGGCGTGAACCCAGGAGGCGGAGCTTGCAGCGAGCTGAGATCGCACCACTCCACTCCAGCCTGGGCAACAGAGCGAGACTCTGTCTCAAAAAAAAAAAAAAAAAAAAAAAAATCCTGCAGATGTTAGAATGCGCGGAAGAGAGAGAAACCCAAAGTGTGAATGAATACAGAGAGGCAGGAGATCCAACACCTTCCTCCCCAGGAAAGCCCGGGCACGAGGTCCCCGAGCTGAGCTGAGCCTGGGGGCTGGCTCCAGTCTCAGGACCGCCCACAGCCCTCACAGCAGGGTGTGTCCACATTCAGATGCCCTCCTCTCTCCCTCCATCCCCCTCCCAAGGCTGCATCGGCAGCTGTGGCCTCATAGGGAGAGGTGTGGTTTGGGGGTGATTTCCTATTTCCTTCGTGTCTGACCACTGCCCGAGGGCCTCACAAAGGAACCGAATCTTTTGGAGCCTGCATTTCCTGTCATCCTGAGTGGCCTTTGGAGTCCTCAATGTATAAGGACAGCAAGGGCCAGCTGTTCATGTTAGCTTTCTGGAACATTCCAGGCACTCCATGTACTAACAGGTTCCTTGCCAGAGGGCCCTCAAATGATGGAATTGATAAAAGCATTATAAAATGTTGATAAATTCTCTAACCATAGACGTGGAGCTCAGTGAGTACGAATGCAAGATGTGACTCCCCCAGGCCTAGAAAGAAAGCCTTAGCTTCAGAGACGTGGGTAACCTTGGCTCTCTACGGGAGTGAGGCCAACAAGGCCAGCAGAACAGGGTCAAGCAGCTCCTGTTGCCCAAGCAGCCACAGCCGCCTGGCCTTCACTGCATCCAGCTGTGCAGTGGCAGAGAGGATGCTGCGTGGGGACAGCAGGAGGAGAGGCCTTCAAGACCCAGGCCAGCTAAGCCTGGGGAGATAGAAGCAGCCACCACGCTGGGGGAGTGTGGACGCAGGAGTTTGAGGAGTTCTGCGGGGTGCTGAATGGGGTCCTCCTCTGGCGCTTTCTTGAGGGAGTTCTGCAATGATCCACATTCTTTCCAGGGACTTTCTTTCAAGTGCTGTCATATGCTGCCGCGGCTTGCCGGCAGCCCAGCCTCAGGCGGTCGGAGTCGGAAGGCGACAGATGCAGGGCTCCCTTTCCTCATCGGTTCTCTCAACAGGGCAGGGGGACGGCCATGAGTGGGCAAATGTGTCCAGACCACTGAAGAACCTCTCATCTGCTCAGCTGGAGAGGCCCTTCCTGTCTCTGTGATCTTTCCCAAGATGGCCAATGTCCTGTACCACCGGCCACCCCTTCCGTTGGTCACTGTGGATGACACTAGGGGTGGACACTGACCAAGGAGGCACCAACCTGATTCCAGCTCCTAGAGCTGGCCAGGTGCCTGACAGGAAAATGAGGCATCTGAAGAACACGGAGAGATGGGGGTAGGGTGGTAGGGAGGGAGGGAGATGAAGCCACACCCCAGAGCTCCTGGGTTTGCAGCTCCTTCCCGAGGCCTGGCTAGGTCCCTGCCTCGGTCCCTGCCTCTGGATGCCGTGAGACAATCCACCCTGGAGAGCCTACCAGTCCCCTTATGTTTGACAGCTGGAGTTGGAATTTGCCTCCCGCAGACCACAGGTCTACAGCCTTCATTCACGTGTCGCACAGACTGTGGCAGGACCAGCACCCGCTGCTGGTGTGGGACGCCTGGCCCTGTAGGGGACCCCAAGAGTGGCTGGAGAGCAGGGCGTGATGCCTCTTGGGCCACCCTGCAAAGGGCTCACGAGCCTCCTGAGGAGGATGCATTTGATCAGGGTAACAGGAGTCAGCAGAGGGCTTTCCAAGGACAGGTTTGCCAAGAAGCGAGAACAGACTGAGGGGGGAACGATAGAGGCACTGGGTGTAGTCAGACACCACTGCAATGGTAGCCGAAAACCGCGCCGTGAGAAGACTCTGTGGGGAGGGTAACTAGGTGCATGAGAGTGAGAGGAGCGAAAAAAGCCTCGGATGGCTCCGAAGCTCCTGGCCCAGCTTCCAGGGGTTGGTGGCCCAGGACCGCCCCTGCACGCGGCCTCGGGTGCCTGCTCCAGGCAGACCTGCTTCTCTGGCCCATTCTCGGCACCAATCACTGTCCCATCCGCCCGTCAGCCAAGTCCTCTGAGTTCTTCCCGGAGCCCAGCACCCTGATGCAATTGTCCCTGCTCTGAAAACCCTCAGCAATCTATTGGGTCTTCAGTAGCATCTACTCTTTCTAGAAATGTCGAACAAGGTTTTTCGATTGTGCTGCACGTGTGGCAGACACAGAAACGGAAACGACCTTCCAGAGAACTGGCCAAAGGACGGGAGCTGCTCCAGTAACTGAAGGGCACAGACTGAGCGCTTCTGATGGAGTCGGGGAGGTCGCCGGCCCATCCACCGGCTGCCCGAGGGCCTCCCACTGACCTCCCCCGGCCGCCCTCCGAGGGGCCTCTGCTGACCTCGCCGTGCTGGGCACGCTCGGCTTTAGCGGGAAGCTGGGGGTCAGGTTCAAGGCTGTGAGGAGCCACTTCAGCCCGGGAATCTGAATTTTTTCTTCAAAAGCGCCTGTCCCCACAATGGGTTTGTACTGGGGAAAAAACCCACACACGGGATGAGGTGCCCGGCTTCTGTGAGGGTTCTGAGCACTTCGTTTTTCTTCCCTTTAGATTCTGACAACTGTGGACTAAAAGGGTTGCAGGCCCAGTGCCGGAATTCCAGTATCACCTTCCACCAGGCTCCTCACACGTCGACATGGCCCCCACTTGGTGGTCTGGCAGGCGTCGGCGGTTGGGGACGGCGCCCCGGGGACCCCGCGGCCCTAGCCTTCCCCGGCGCCCCGCGAACGCCCTCCGCGGCCCCAGCAGCTGAGCGCCTGGGTCCCTGAGAGGCACCCCAGGAGGGCGGCGCGGGCGGGTAACGTCACACACGCGCCGCATCCTGGATGCGCGTGCGCGGCAGCGGCCGAGACTCCGTTTCCCAGGGAGCCGCGCGGCGCGTCCACTTCCGGCAGGCGGCGGGGCCCGGAAGCGGCGCGCGGGGCCGGCGAATCCCGCGGCGCCAGGTGGGAGCGGGGCCGGAGCATGCGGGGCGGCCGGCGGTCTGCGGCGCGCGGCGCATTCGTTCCCCCGCGGCGGTGGCGGTGGCGCGCGGCGGCTCTCCAGTGAGCGGCGGAGCCCGGAGCGGCGGGCTGGGCGCCGGGCGGGCGGGGCTCGCGGCTGAGAGGCGGGCGGGCCGGGGGCGCCGGGCGCGGGGCCGCCATGTGGAGCGGCCGCAGCTCCTTCACCAGCTTGGTGGTGGGCGTGTTCGTGGTCTACGTGGTGCACACCTGCTGGGTCATGTACGGCATCGTCTACACCCGCCCGTGCTCCGGCGACGCCAACTGCATCCAGCCCTACCTGGCGCGGCGGCCCAAGCTGCAGGTGAGCGTCCGCGGGGCCGGGGGCCGGGCGGGTTGGGGTGGGGGCCTCTCCTCCAGGCCCCAGACGTCGCCTTCCCGTCCCAGTTCGGAGCTGTGGCCGCGCGAGTCGAGATGGAACCTTTCCTGGTTCCCCAGCGGCCAGGTCTTCCGCCCTCCAGCTGGCCGTGGGATTTGAGTGCGTCCTGCCAGGGCCTGGCCGAGCTGACTCTCGACGCCCCCTCCTTTCCAGCTGAGCGTGTACACCACGACGAGGTCCCACCTGGGTGCTGAGAACAACATCGACCTGGTCTTGAATGTGGAAGACTTTGATGTGGAGTCCAAATTTGAAAGGTATGGGCGTAGGACAAAATGCCAGTGAAAGGGAAAACATTACTCATGTTCAGATTGTTTAAAAGTTAGCTTTCTGTACATAACATGTTTATTTTAGAGAACTAGTCTTACCGAATGTCTTGAAGTGGTAGAATATCCTAACTGGAGGCCTATGCGTGGCCTGTAAACATTCAGCCTGGAAGGTGACAGGTGATGAATGTCGTTTAAGAAGTAGTTCTCAGCAGAGTGTGATGGCAGTGGGATGTCCTGGACGGGGAGGCTCCGAAGGAGCAGGGGCCACGCTTGGTGAACCAGTGGAGAGCAGACAACTCTGCAGTTTCACTACCGGGGACCAACTTGTCTTTTCCTGGTGGAAGTAGTTCGCTTAAGTTACTTGTGAGGGAAAAGAGATGAGGATAGAGGAAGCAATTTTGTAGAAAATCATAAATAAGTGACATGTGACGTTAGAATAGATCAATGTCCAAATATGTAGAGTATCTTAAAAATTACATCTGACATGGCCTAATTTTTTTTAATTGAATAAGTATACTTTTAAATATGATTTGCTTCTCACAAGTCAACCATTTCCCTTCATTGCCTGGGAGGTATCTGAGGAGAGAATAATGAAAGTTTGAGACTCATGCTGGACTCCACGCCCTCTAGGCAGCCAGTCCCTGGGGGTAGCTGGAGGCGCTGGCAAGCCGGTTTCTGCCTGGCCTCTTTAGGCCTGTGACCTCAAGCCAGTTCCTGCCCTCTCTCTGCCTCCATGAAGGGGAGGCCAGAAGTGCTGGTGACCAAGCTGCCCGCTCGGTTGTAGCTGCCCACACCTTTCAAAAATGCTCAGGATTCATCTGCACTGGGTTTAATTTCCCAGACATGAATACTGCCTCTTCCGTGCCGGGCCGTGTACCAGTTACCAAGGACAGCTAGTGAGGTTTTCCATTTGACCTGGCACAGTGTCAGCCTGGAGGAAGTGGGGAGAATGAGCACTCTTAACACAGCTCCGCCTCAAGTGTCTCCAAGTGCACATTCCACCAGAAATACACAGCCCTGCACCCTCTGCCTGAAGAGAGACACTTAAGATGTCCTGGTGGAGACATACTCTTTCCTGGGTAGTGAGGAGCCATAGATGCCTTTGTGTTTTTCATTACAACTTTGGCCGTAAGATTTTTTTTTTTTTTTGAGATAGAGTCTTGCTCTGTTGCCAGGCTGGAGTGCAGTGGCGTGATCTCTGCTCACTGCAACCTCCGGTTCCCGGGTTCAAGGGATTCTCCTGCCTTAGCCTCCAAAGTAGCTGAGACTACAGGCACCCGCCACCACGCCTGGCTAATTTTTTTATTTTTAGTAGAGACAGGGTTTCACCATGTTGGCTGGGCTGGTCTGAAACTCCTGACCTCGTGATCTGCCCGGCTCGGCCTCCCAAGGTGCTGGGATTACAGGCGTGAGCCGCCGCACCCGGCCAACCGTAAGATTTTTAAGGAGAGGCCGGGCACAGTGACTCATGCCTATAATCCCAGCAGTTTGGGAGGCCAAGGCGGGAGGATCACTTGAGCCCAGCAGTTCAAGACCAGCCTAGGCAATGTGACAAAACCCCATCTCTACAACAGTTTTCAAAGTTAGCCAGGCATGGTGGCACGCCCACCTGTAGTCCCAGCTACTCGGGAGACTGAGGCGGGAGGTCACTTGAGCTCAGGAGGTTGAGGATGCAGTGAGCTGTGATTGCACCCCTACACTTTCAGCCTGGTGACAGCGAGACCTTGTCTCAAAAAAGAGACTTTTAAAGAGGAAGAAGAACTCATGTAACCGTAAACAGGTGGAATGCGAGGTTTTTCCATGGGGCTGTAGTATGGACGTCGGGCCCTGGTGTGCGGGTGAAGAGCCAGGCACCTGGTCCGAGGCCTACAGTTGTAGCAGCTCGCCGGGCCTTTCCTCAGCTCGTGCTGGATGCCACACAGTCAGGACTGACAGCCTTGAAAGTCAGTCCTTTGTGGCTGATCATCTTTTTATCCTTAAAACTACAACACCCAAAAAAACTACCCACATTAAATTTCTGAGGTTCCAGTAGTGTGGGCCGAGGCACCTGGAGCCCTCGTGGCTGCTGCCCTTCCCTTCTGTCGCTTCGGAGTTGGGTGATTCAGTGTGTGTGGTCAGCTGGTACCCTGGCCAGGCCCAGAAGCTGCTTTCCATCTGGCTGCTTCAGCCTTGTGGCCTCAGGTGGGTTATTGACCTCTCAGCCTCCTGAGATGGAGGCAGGAAGTGCGGGCCGTTTTGCTTTCGGCTGTAGGCGCCCACACCTGTGCCGAGTTCTCAGGACGCGCACGCGTGCGCGTGCACACACACACACACACACACACACACACACGACTCGTAAAGCCCTGGGCAGGTGGGTTTCATTTTTAGTACTTCTGAGCTAAAATTAGTTTATTGAAGCAGCTTTATAAAGGTATTTGAATAGGTTCTAGAGACCCAGAATATAATATGTATGTAGTGGAAATGATTGTTCTGTTTCAGGACAGTTAATGTTTCTGTACCAAAGAAAACGAGAAACAATGGGACGCTGTATGCCTACATCTTCCTCCATCACGCTGGGGTCCTGCCGTGGCACGACGGGAAGCAGGTGCACCTGGTCAGTCCTCTGACCACCTACATGGTCCCCAAGCCAGAAGAAATCAACCTGCTCACCGGGGAGTCTGATACACAGGTGAGGGTCTTCATGGGTTACTGATAACAGGCTGTGCCTCTCCGTCAGAACGGACATGTCTTTCTCCACACAGGTGGGCGATGTCTAGGGCTCCAGTGACTTTGTTGGGAGTAAAGCCAAAAGCCATTGGAATGTTACTGGCGTGCATTTCTGACTTTCAGCTGAATCATATCCATGAGTTTGCAGACAAGTTTTATCTAAAATTAGGGACAGTTGAAGTGATCGCTGGCATTCTCGATGCAGAGTCCCTCGGGGAATGGGCCCTCTCAGTCTCTGGGGGCACCTACTGCACCTGGTGGGATGGAGCGCTGGTCCTGCAGAGCTGGCCTGCAGCTTCTCACCAGGAGCTCTGGGGATGAGAGCTGGGCTCATTCTGCATTCTGTGTAGGACTGGGCTATTCCTAGATGTTTATTCTAAGAATGTAATTGGAGATCATGGAAAAGGTAGAGGTACAAGTTGTAGTTTGTACATCTGTAGAAAGGTGTATGCGCAAATAAAAACTGGAAGTCACTTAAGTGATCATGAATACAGGCCAAGGATAAAGCAAGGGAATTCTGACACCCACCTTTGTGTTGAGTGGAAGGTGAGATAATTTACAAAACAAGGCCGGGCGCAGTGGCTCATGCCTGTAATCCCAGCACTTTGGGAGGCTGAGGCAGGTGGATCACCTGCAGTCAGGAGTTCGAGACTAGCCTGGCCAACATGGTGAAACCCCGTCTCTACTAAAAATACAAAAATTAGCTGGATGTGGTGGCACGCGCCTGTAATCCCAGCTACTCAGGAGGCTGAGGGAGGAGAATCGTTTGAACCCGTGAGGTGAGATGATGCCACTGCATTCCAGCCTGGGCGACAGAGGGAGACTCTGCCTCAGAAAAATTTACAAAACAAGAAAGATGGCAGCTTTCCAGGAAGAGGCTGTGAAATTGTTCCAGACAGAGAGAAAGAGAGGTCTCTCGGAGTTGATGGGGTTTTGAAAGCCCTACCAACACCTGCTCCTGCCTCTCCCCAGTTTGCATCTGTCTCCTTAGGAACATCCCTCACCTGCCCCTCTCCGTGTCCCCTCATCTGGGGCCCCCATCCCTCCTCTCCAGTGTCCTGAAAAGTGGGTGGGGTGATGGGCATGTAGCATGTAGCGCAGGAAGCCTCCCTTGCAGGTAGCAAATGTGAGGAGGTGTGGAAAACCGTTTGTAATGTAAATTATCGCTAAACTGCATCTTTAGGTAGGAAATGGGTGAGGCGATAGTGCTTCCTAGGATGTATCAGATCTGAGCCGAGCTAAGATTTCCCTGTCAGTCCATGTCCTGTTTAACTTCATGTAAGAGCCGTGTGTAATCCTCAGTATGTCTCCTTTAGGCAGCCCCACATGCTTGGTTTTAGAAGCTGACTCCCTCTCAGTCTCCTTACAGCCACAGGGCTGTGTGAGCCCTGGACTTGCACAGTCTTCTGCCAAGGTCAGGGGGCTCTCACCCTCTCAACTTCTGAGAAGTGGGCCCACTTAGTTTGAGGACCTCAAAAAAGGAATTGGTGAAGTCCGTGACCACATGTTGCAAAGCAGCACCCCCTGGCTTCCGTGGAGATAAGGATGGGGGGCTGTTTGGCGAGAGTCTGGCGGAATTGGCAGCTGTGGGGCCGCTGTGCCCTCTCTGCTGGGCTCTCCCCCGGTTGTGCCTGTGCGTGGCCATCTGTTCACAGGTTAGGGTGCCGACCCTGCTGTCCGGGCGCGGTTTTTCCATGTGCGTGGCCATCTGTTCACAGGTTAGGGCGCTGACCCTGCTGTCCCGGGCACAGTTTGCCCGTCTGTGTGGCCATCTGTTCACAGGTTAGGGCGCTGACCCTGCTGTCCCGAGCACAGTTTGCCCGTCTGTGTGGCCGTTCTCTTCACAGGTTAGGGTGCTGACCCTGCTGTCCGGGCGCGGTTTTTCCATGTGCGTGGCCATCTGTTCACAGGTTAGGGCGCTGACTCTGCTGTCCCGGGCACAGTTTGCCCATCTGTGTGGCCATCTGTTCACAGGTTAGGGCGCTGACCCTGCTGTCCCGAGCACAGTTTGCCCGTCTGTGTGGCCGTTCTCTTCACAGGTTAGGGTGCCGACCCTGCTGTCCGGGCGCGGTTTTTCCATGTGCGTGGCCATCTGTTCACAGGTTAGGGCGCTGACCCTGCTGTCCCGGGCACAGTTTGCCCGTCTGTGTGGCCATCTGTTCACAGGTTAGGGCGCTGACCCTGCTGTCCCGGGCACAGTTTGCCCGTCTGTGTGGCCGTTCTCTTCACAGGTTAGGGTGCTGACCCTGCTGTCCGGGTGCGGTTTTTCCATGTGCGTGGCCATCTGTTCACAGGTTAGGGCGCTGACCCTGCTGTCCCGGGCACAGTTTGCCAGTCTGTGTGGCCATCTGTTCACAGGTTAGGGCACTGACCCTGCTGTCCCGGGCACAGTTTGCCCGTCTGTGTGGCCGTTCTCTTCACAGGTTAGGGTGCTGACCCTGCTGTCCCGGGCACAGTTTGCCCGTCTGTGTGGCCATCTCTTCACAGGTTAGGGGGCTGACCCTGCTGTCCCGGGCACAGTTTGCCTGTCTGTGTGGCCGTTCTGTTCGCAGGTTAGGGGGCTGACCCTGCTGTCCTGGGCATGGTTTTCTGTCCCAGCATTGGCCTCTGTTTTCCTCACTTAACAGCAGATCGAGGCGGAGAAGAAGCCGACGAGTGCCCTGGATGAGCCAGTGTCCCACTGGCGACCGCGGCTGGCGCTGAACGTGATGGCGGACAACTTTGTCTTTGACGGGTCCTCCCTGCCTGCCGATGTGCATCGGTACATGAAGATGTAAGTGGGGCCCCAGAGCTGGAGCGCCGGGGGGAGGGTGCTGGGACCCTGGCTGGCCAGAACTCGCCAGCAGGTCACTCCTGCACCGTGGAGTCCCCTCTGTGGGGAGGCACTTGCTGCCCGGGCCTCCCAGCTCTTTCCCACTTCCTCATTGAGGTTGTGCTGCTACCACAGGGCTGGAAGGGGGGAGAAAGGAATTCAAGCTGGAGCATCCTGCCCTTTGCTCCTGGCTGGCGAAGGCTTCCATGGAGAGAAAACGGAAGGCGCTGATGGGAACGGGTTGCTTTGCTCCCCTTGTGATTTTTTAACTTGGCTTATTTAGATTTACTTAAAAGTTAATCTTTAGATTATTTAGTATCACTTGCCATCAGTTAAATACAATTATTGGAATTCACGTGTTTGGCCACCTGAGCTCACCTCGTCTCTCCCATGTGTTGGGGATCCCCCCCCCAACTCCTGCGCCACAGCTCCGCCTCCCAGGTGGCTGCAGGTGACTCGCCCTTCCAAGTGTAGTGGCCACATCCTGGGATTGCTCCGTGTCAGTGCATCCTGGGATTGCTCCGTGTCAGTGCGCAGAGGGCCCTGGGTTCTGCTGTACGGCCGTGTCCCTGTAATTCCCCCGCTCCTAGTGGCCGTGGAGGCATTTTCCCACCTGTGGCCATCACTTCCTGGGGAGCGGGTCTCACAAGCGTGCATATGTTGTCAGGCTCTCTGCTTCCGTTTGGGGAGGCTGTGCCCTGGGGTCATTGTGACTGAGAAGCAGTTGAGGGTGGTGCTGGGGGCACTTCTCTGGGGTAAACCCAGTGTCTGGATGTGTTCATTCATTGAAAGGTAAAAGCCTTGGTGCTGACTTTGGAAAGTTGTGCTTTAATCCCAGGATCCAGCTGGGGAAAACCGTGCATTACCTGCCCATCCTGTTCATCGACCAGCTCAGCAACCGCGTGAAGGACCTGATGGTGAGTGACACCTCTGCCCGCTGGTTGTGCAGCTGGCGAGACACTGACCCCAAGACTGGCCCCGCAGCCCCTGCACCCTAATGGACCGGGCCATTGCTGACATTTGACACGGTGCTTTTACCCGTGCTGGGAAGCACTGCCTTCGAGTGTGCGAGGGTTGTGACAGGGGGGCCCTGGTGGTGTGCTGGGTTTGCCGTTGGCTGGCTGCGGGGTCCTGCTGAGCCTCTGGACTGTCACTGGTGAAAGGCCCCTGGAAGATTGTTTATGCAGCGCATAGAGGGCAGCGCTTAGAGAGCAGGCACATGAGCACCGTGTGAAACAGCGTCTGCGTGTGAGCTCCTGGTGTGCCATGTAGATTAATTCACAGTATCCTGAGCAAACTCCTGCTTTCCCCACCAGGGCTGGTCCTGCACAGGCGGCCAGAGGAGCGGGTGACAGCCCTTCCTCGGAGCTGGAGCCCCCGGGGTGGCCCCTGGCAAGGCGGAAGGCCTTTGCGAATAGAAGTGGCTGCTCTCTGGGCTCTGGCGCCCTGTGATTACGGGCAGTGACAGCGCCTGCTCTCCCATAGTTGCTTTGAGAGGAGATGAAATGTGGCCAACCTTTGGCCAGTATTGAGACTCACAGAAGCAGTTAATATTTAATGTCTCTTACTGCACATGAGGCACTGTGCTAAGCACTTTGTGAATCTTTCCGTAATTGTGGTGCTGGGAGCTGTGGCGTTGTTTCACGGATGAGGTTATTTGGGGTTCAGAGGTGAACGCTCAGCTGGGGCCCTGCAGGATCGCTGCCCTGCCCTGCCTCCCTGCAAGCCATCACTGTCACTCCGGATCACCCACTAGGAGCCGGCCACTTCCACTTAAGGCTCTCGGCACCTCTGACCTCTGAGGCGGGCCCTTTCCCCTTTTTTGTTGAAGAGGAAACAGTCCTGGGGAGAGCAGAGGGCTTGCTAGCGGGGGGGTGCAGCTGGGAAACGGAGAAGCGAGCACCTGGCTGCTTTGATCTCTGCCCAGGCCCTGCTGCCTCCTCCTGACTGCGGCTCTCAGAACAGTCCCCCTGTACTGCTGTTCCCTCAGACCCCTTGCAGTCCCTAACATACTGCCTCCTTCACTTCTGGGGTCACTGATTGCTCCTATACAACCTGCAGGCTGGGGGCTGCACAGGCAGTGGCTGGCGAGCAGGTCTGGCGCTGCAGCCTATCCCTGAGTAGTTTCTCTGTCGGCCCCTGCAATTCCAACCTCTTTCTCTGTTTGCTGGAGTTTGCTGGTGTGCTGCTGACAAACCTCAGGACAGCAAGTTCTGCTAAAATGCCCCATACAGAGCTGTGTGAGCTGTGGCACCAGCTCGTGGTCACCTCTTGTGAAGCCTCATGCCGCTGACTCCTTGCAGGCATTCAGGAGATGGTGGACAGGGGCAGGCAGCTGCAGAAGGCTGCCCTGTGTGTCTGTCTGCAGATCTGTCTTGTTAGAGGCCCGGGGCAGGCTTTGCGGCGCAGCTGTGCCAGTGGTGGCCTGCGTTCCAGTGGTTATGGAGACACGTGTGCCGACAGCAGCTTTTCCCCCAAATCACAGTCTCTCTCATGTGTCGCTGTTGCTGTGTCTCACTTGGGGCCAGATTCGAGAGGTGCTGTCTTGAGAGAGGAAGCAGGCAGCTGGGATGCAGCAGGTGCAGGAAGTCGGCACCTTCTGTGGCTGGGCCCAGCACTGCCAGATGGAGGAGGCAGTGACACCCTTCGGACACGCTTGGCAGCTCGAGGGGTGCCTGGAGGCCACCATCCATGTGCACTGATGCCACTTGGCTACGTGGGGCGCCCTGACAGCCGCTCTCAGGGCAACCTGGCACCTGCTGGTTGTGGCTCTGATTCCACCACACCCTGACACCAGCAGTGCCCGCCATAGCAGAGCAGGTGGATTAGAGCACAGCCCTCGCTGGATGTTCCAGCACGTGGAGGGTGGCGGGTCAGGGCTTGAGGCAGGGCAGGTGGATTAGAGCACAGCCCTCGCTGGATGTTCCAGAACGTGGAGGGTGGTGCTCACCGGGTGTGGTCACTGCCCACGTGCTGTAGGGTGTGGGCTCGCGCTTGTGAACCCGTTCCTCACCCTCCTACCTCGGCACCCTGGGACCTGGCCCACAGCCTGTGTGCGTGAGGCCCCGGCAGGCTGCAGGACTAAGCTCGTGGTTCTGAGACCTACACATCCACCCTACTGCCCCTGCTAGCTTTGCGTTCCAGAAGCTTTCTGTTGTCCCCACGGCCACCCCCTGCTCTGTGCTTTAGGCCCTGAGGCACTTTGCCCATGTGCTGCAGGGCTGTGCTTGTCCCGTGGTCTCCAACTCTTAGGACAGGCCAGGGCTCTGCAGGCCAAGCTCAGCGCCGTATGCTGCGCCATGGAGTCCTAGCAGCTGGGTGGCAAGCACCACCTCCGGGGCACCAGGACTTGTGCGGCTTAAAATTGAAGGGGCACGTGCAGCAAAACAGACCAGGCACTGCTAGCGCTGCTGAGCTCACGGGGTCCTGGTGGGGGTGGGAACCTCCCTGTGCTGGAACGCAGCACGCTGGGGCCTGAGGCCTGTGGTGACAGAAGGAGGGACCGGGGGATGCTTGCTGGGCCCAGTCATGGCTGACCTGGGGCCACACAGGGATGGGAAGGGGGATGGCAGGGTTGGCGAGGGCTGCCAGGCAGCTGGGTGCAAGGGTATGAGGGCAGGGCCCTCAGTGTGGCTTTCTTCATCAGGTCATAAACCGCTCCACCACCGAGCTGCCCCTCACCGTGTCCTACGACAAGGTCTCACTGGGGCGGCTGCGCTTCTGGATCCACATGCAGGACGCCGTGTACTCCCTGCAGCAGTTCGGTATGTGCCGCACACGGCCGGCGCCTGGGTGAGGCCGCCCTGGAGCCCCTCGGGCATCCAAGTGCGAATCCTGACACAGGCCGGGGCCTCCTCGCCTCCTGCTGCAGATCCTTGCACAGACGTTGAATCAGAGGCTAGCAGCGCCTGCCTCACTTCTCTCCTTGGAGATGACCTGGTTGATTGTCTGGAAATTGGCTTTATTAAGAACATAATATGTGAAATGCCATGAGTTTGGTCAAATGAACCTTAACTGTTGATGAGATTTATTTTTATTGTTTGTTTGTTTGTTTGTTTGTTTGTTTTGAGACAGAGTCTCGCTCTGTTGCCCAGGCTGGAGTGCAGTGGCACAATCTCTGGTTACTGCAGCCTCCGCCCCCCGGATTCAAGCGATTCTCGTTCCTCAGTCCCCCCAGTAGCTAGGATTACAGGCGCGTGCCCCCACGCCCAGCTAATTTTTGTATTTTTAGTAGAGATGGAGTTTCACCATGTTTACCAGGCTGGTCTTGAACTCCTGACTTCAAGTGATCTGCCTGCCTGAGATTCCCAAAGTGCTGGGTTTACAGGCATGAGCCACTGCGCCCGGCCTAAATTTTTATATTGAAAACTGTATTTGTAATGTTAGGTAAGATTGACATTGCCTGTTTTATATTGTATGTTTTTTTTTCCTTGACAGGGTTTTCAGAGAAAGATGCTGATGAGGTGAAAGGAATTTTTGTAGATACCAACTTATACTTCCTGGCGCTGACCTTCTTTGTCGCAGCGTTCCATGTGAGTCATCCACCGGGGGGCTTGCCGCAGGCACTTGGGGGGCTCCCTGGGCCCCGGGCCTCCTGCAGGGGTCCTGGACCTGGGGTTTGTGGGCGCCGTCCAGCCCTGTGGCCCTCAAGTGTCCACTCCCATCACTCAGCAGCCAGCACGCCTGACACCAGGCGACCATTGTCCCAGTGGGCGGTTTCTCCCAGTTCTGAAAAGGGAGGGACCATAAAGCTCCGTCCACAGCCTTGGCGACTTGGGCTGTGCTGGCTTTGGGGGCGGTTTTGAAAAGGATCCAGGGTACTCTGAGCAGTGTCCACACCAATGAGATGAATAGGTGCAGGCATCTCACTCTCCCCTGCCCAGGCCCCGACCCCATGCAGAGCCAGGGGCGGAGCTGGGCAGCCTCTAGCAGAAAGTAGTTCTCTTGTATAAATTCTAACACACTGATTTTTAAATGTAAAAAGTCAGTCCTGTGTGTATACAGTAGTTCCCCCTTACCCGATGTGTATACAGTAGTCCCCCCTTATCCTCATCCGGTGTGTATACAGTAGTCCCCCCTTATCCTCATCCGGTGTGTATACAGTAGTCCCCCCTTATCCTCTTGCGGTGTGTCTACAGTAGTCCCCCCTTATCCTCAGCCGGTGTGTATACAGTAGTCCCCCTTATCCTCATCTGGTGTGTATACAATAGTCCCTCATCCTCATCCCGTGTGTATACAGTAGTCTCCCCTTATCCTCATCCGGTGTGTATACAGTAGTCCCCCCTTATCCTCATCTGGTGTGTATACAGTAGTCCCCCCTTATCCTCATCTGGTGTGTATACAATAGTCCCCCCTTATCCTCATCCAATGTGTATACAGTAGTCCCCCCTTATCCTCATCCCGTGTGTGTATACAGTAGTCCCCCCTTATCCTCATCTGGTGTGTATACAGTAGTCCCCCCTTATCCTCATGTGGTGTGTATACAATAGTCCCTCATCCTCATCCCGTGTGTATACAGTAGTCTCCCCTTATCCTCATCTGGTGTGTATACAGTAGTCCCCCCTTATCTGGTGTGTATACAGTAGTCCCCCCTTATCCGGTGTGTCTACAGTAGTCCCCCCTTATCCTCATCCGGTGTGTATACAGTAGTCCCCCCTTATCCTCATCCGGTGTGTATACAGTAGTCCCCCCTTATCCGGTGTGTCTACAGTAGTCCCCCCTTATCCTCATCCGGTGTGTATACAGTAGTCCCCCCTTATCCTCATCCGGTGTGTATACAGTAGTCCCCCCTTATCCGGTGTGTCTACAGTATTCCCCCCTTATCCTCATCCCGTGTGTATACAGTAGTCCCCCCTTGTTCTCATCCAGTGTATATACAGTAGTCCGCCCCTTATCCTCATCTGGTGTTATACAGTAGTCCCTCATCCTCAGGGGGTGTGTTCAAAGACCCTCATTGGATGTCTGAATATGTGTATCAAATAACGTAATGAATGAATATATGTATTATGTAATGGTTTTGATAAAGTTCAATTTATAAGTTAAGCACAGTAAGAGATTACCCACAATAACTGGTAACAGAAACAGGACAGGACAGTGTGATAAAGTTACGTGGGTGTGGTCTCACTCTCAGAATATCTGTCTCATCGCACTGCTCCGTGCTAACCGAAACCATGGACAGTAAACCATGGGTAAAGCAAGGCTGCTGTGCTCTTACTGTTGTTCGTGGAGCTGAGCTGCTAGGGAGAGCCATCCTTGTGGCTGTTAGGCTGGCCTGTGGTTAGGCGGCACCCAGGAGTGCGGCCGGCACTGGTTCTGAGTGCCTGGGAGTTTGGCTGCCAGTCAAGCTAAAACTTTCCAAAGCCGTACTAGAGAATTAAACGATTTTTATTAAAAGGTCAGTGTCTCTAAGGATGAGATCATGCATGGTTAGGTTTTTTTAAGTTTTTTTTGGAGACAGGTCTCAGTACGTTGCCCAGGCTGGTCTCAAACCCCTGGGCTTAGGTGGTCCTTTGGCCTTGGCCTTGCAGTAGCTGGGATCACAGGCATGGGCCACCATGCCCAGCCCTTGCGTTTTTAGCACAGTTGAGAGATGAGGCTGCCCTGAGTGGGCACAACCCGAGAGCAGGGGTGCCCAGCCAGGCCCATGATCCAGGGGAATCCAGAGCCTCCAATTGCCTGGGGGCCTTTCCAGCAGTTCAAGTCAAAGGTACGTATTATTTCAGAAGTGCCCCTGCAAAGCCCGCCTGGGCACTCTAGGTTCTGACATGGCAGGCCAGGCGCGTAGAGGCATGGGTCCCGAGTGTAGACACTTATCCTGATGCATCCTGAGGCTGAGTACACCTGCAGTCTCACGGTCACACACGAAGCCTCTATCTCTGTCTCACAGGAGATGGAAACAGCAGGAGATGTGAGTTGCTGTCGTGTGTGTTCTCTCTAGCTTCTCTTTGATTTCCTGGCCTTTAAAAATGACATCAGTTTCTGGAAGAAGAAGAAGAGCATGATCGGCATGTCCACCAAGGCAGGTAGGCCCCCCGAGCGTGGCCCTGCTCAGATACTCTGCCCCAGGGAGCTCACTGGAGCCTGCGGTAGAGGGCTGCCTGCCTCACTGCTGGCTGCAGACACAGCCCCGGGTGTGTGCTTGGCTCTTGAGAAGCCTCTGAGACCAGGCACCGTAAAGCCCAGGGAGCCGTTGCGGCAATTGTGGTGGGACCATCAGAGGCTGCACGGCTCAGGGCCTCCAGCGGCTGCACAGCTCAGGGCCTGGCTGCGGACTCTGGCGTGCATGGGGTCTGGGTCTGGGCTGTGGAGAGTGAGATGCATGGACCTCTCGAGCCTTCCCGGCTGCTCATGGGCGCTGAGCAGGGCTGGGGCCTCACATCCCCTGTCTTGGTTCCCTCGCCCCGTCCTCCCGCCGGTGTTCCTTCCCCGACCAGCGCAGGCCTGGGCGTGTGGGGCCTGCCAGGTGATGGCAGTTAATAGGCCCGTGGTGCTGTGCCCAGCAGTGACAGGCAGTGTGCAGCTGTTAGGTAGGGCAGTCAGGGACCCCTGAGGCCAGGCAGCCCAGGCAGGAGGCCTGCCAAGATCTGGGACCAGTGTTCCTGGCCAAGGGTGCCTGCCGTGGTTTAAGGGGCCCAAGTGAGTGAGGGGTCCTCCTGACCTTGCAGGGGTGGAGGTTGTCACAGTGGGGTGGGGAGCGGCGGTCTGGACAGGGGCGAGTGGTTGATGGGTGTGAGGACGAGGAGTGGGTGTGTCCTGTTGGTTAGGAGTGAGGAGCATTTGGCTCCAGTATCAGACCCGAACAAGTTGTTTTTCTCGCATGGAAAAGACGCCCAAGCAGGTGGCCCTGGCTGCCTGGGGGCCGTGCCGTGTTCTGCGTTGTTGTCTCCTAACCCTAATGCCTTTCCTGGCGTCCTGGGTTGGAGTGGCCAGCAGACAGTGGCTGTGGCCTTGACCACTGTTTGTCCTGTGGCTCCATGGATCTGCTTCCCCTGCTTGCCCTCAGGGCTTGCAGGAGGAGGAAGACGTGTTGAATAAGCTGGAGTGGTTCTTAAGGTACAGCTGGGGAGGAAACAAATCCAGACTTGAAAAGCCACGCACTTATCACAGAACTGGCATAAGACACGCCCGGAAGCAAAGCTGTGCTGGCCCCGTCATCCGACCTCTGCCCACGTTCCATGCTCATTTGCAAGTGTGGCTCAGACACGTGTTTGTGGAGCTGGTGTGGGGCCAGCTGTTCAGTTCAGCAGCCTTCCAAACACTTTCCTAGCTGCTGAATGCTTCATTGTTCTTTTTAAACGGGGTGACGTGGACTGGGGAGTACCTGAAGCTTCTTGGGCGTGGTGGGTTGGGATGGGGGACTGGGGGTATGTGTGTGACTTGGGGAACACAGGTGGGGTCTGCCCTGCACCCCCTCCCAGCCCGACCATCCTGTCCCCAGTGCTCTGGCGCTGCTTCAGCACCGTGGTCATCTTTCTGTTCCTGCTGGACGAGCAGACGAGCCTGCTGGTGCTGGTCCCGGCGGGTGTTGGAGCCGCCATTGAGGTGAGTTCCGGGCAGTGACCTGAACTGTCTGAGGTCCATGTGCCTCCACGCACTCAGGAAAGGCTTTCAGCCCCGGGACCTGAGACCTTCTGTGGAAGCCTGTGTGCTTGTTCCCGATGGCCTCAGTGTTCTGGAAGCTGTAGGATGGCAGGCAGTGGGTGTAAAGGCTTTGAACAAGTGGAGAGCAAGGAAATGCGTGTTCGGGTGGTATCAGCTCATGAGGCTCTGTCCACCAAGCAGTGGTGAGTCCTGAGGCCCT
Organism: Homo sapiens; assembly: GCF_000001405.40. Lineage (NCBI taxonomy): Eukaryota > Metazoa > Chordata > Mammalia > Primates > Hominidae > Homo > Homo sapiens. The sequence continues at coordinate 183,989 of NT_187547.1, forward strand.
GTCCACCAAGCAGATAGTCCTGAGGCTCTGTCCACCAAGCAGTGGTGAGTCCTGAGGCCCTGTCCACCAAGCAGAGAGTCCTGAGGCCCTGTCCACCAAGCAGAGAGTCCTGAGGCTCTGTCCACCAAGCAGAGAGTCCTGAGGCTCTGTCCACCAAGCAGAGAGTCCTGAGGCCCTGTCCACCAAGCAGAGAGTCCTGAGGCCCTGTCCACCAAGCAGAGAGTCCTGAGGCTCTGTCCACCAGGCAGAGAGTCCTGAGGCCCTGTCCACCAGGCAGAGAGTCCTGAGGCTCTGTCCACCAAGCAGAGAGTCCTGAGGCCCTGTCCACCAGGCAGAGAGTCCTGAGGCCCTGTCCACCAGGCAGAGAGTCCTGAGGCCCTGTCCACCAGGCAGAGAGTCCTGAGGCCCTGTCCACCAGGCAGAGAGTCCTGAGGCCCTGTCCACCAAGCAGAGAGTCCTGAGGCCCTGTCCACCAAGCAGAGAGTCCTGAGGCTCTGTCCACCAAGCAGAGAGTCCTGAGGCTCTGTCCACCAAGCAGAGAGTCCTGAGGCCCTGTCCACCAAGCAGTGGTGAGTCCTGAGGCCCTGTCCACCAAGCAGAGGCCTGAGGCCCTGTCCACCAAACAGAGTGTTTTCATGTGCTTGAGAAATCCCACCATGTGCAAAGCAGAGGTGTAAACCGTGGGGCCTTGAGAGGCTCGTGCTGTGGCTGGAGATCTGAGCACAGCGGCCAGGTAGGCACTGACGGAAATCACTCGGTGCCCTGTGGTCCAGCCTTGGTTGTTCCGGAGCTCAGAAAAGCCGGCCAAAAGGGAGCCTCGTGGGGCAAGACCAGCTCAGGAGCAAACCCTTGAGGGGGGCGATGGCCTTCAGGGTGAGAGGGCCCAGGCTTAAGCCTAGCTCCTCACTGAGCTCTGTGCCACACCGGCAGGAGCCGGAGTCTGAGGTCTCTGCAGTTGGTGGCCCACCTGTGGGTGGGGGCCTCTGCGGCCGTCATGCCTGTAGAGGAGGAGCTGGATGCAATGTCTCTGTAGAGGAGGAGCTGTATGAAATGTGTCTGTAGAGGAGGAGCTGGATGGAATGTCCCTGTAGAGGAGGAGCTGGATGAAATGTGTCTGTAGAGGAGGAGCTGGATGGAATGTGTCTGTAGAGGAGGAGCTGGATGAAATGTGTCTGTAGAGGAGGAGCTGGATGCAATGTGTCTGTAGAGCAGGAGCTGGATGAAATGTGTCTGTAGAGGAGGATCTGGATGGAGTGTCCCTGTAGAGGAGGAGCTGGATGAAATGTGTCTGTAGAGGAGGAGCTGGATGGAATGTGTCTATAGAGGAGGAGCTGGATGAAATGTGTCTGTAGACAAGGAGCTGGAAGAAAACTGTCTGTAGAGGAGGAGCTGGATGAAGTGTGTCTGTAGAGGAGGAGCTGGATGAAATCTGTCTGTAGAGGAGGAGCTGGATGAAATGTGTCCGTAGAGGAGGAGCTGGATGAAATGTGTCTGCAGAGGAGGAGCTGGATGAAATGTGTCTGTAGAGGAGGAGCTGGATGGAATGTGTCTGCAGAGGAGGAGCTGGATGAAATGTGTCTGTAGAGGAGGAGCTGGATGGAATGTGTCTGTAGAGGAGGAGCTGGAAGAAATGTCCCTGTAGAGGAGGAGCTGGATGAAATGTGTCCGTAGAGGAGGAGCTGGATGAAATGTGTCCGTAGAGGAGTAGCTGGATGAAATGTATCCTGTAGAGGAGGAGCTGGATGGAATGTATCCTGTAGAGGAGGAGCTGGATGGAATGTGTCTGCAGAGGAGGAGCTGGATGAAATGTGTCTGTAGAGGAGGAGCTGGATGGAATGTGTCTGTAGAGGAGGAGCTGGATGGAATGTGTCTGTAGAGGAGGAGCTGGATGGAATGTGTCTGTAGAGGAGGAGCTGGATGGAATGTGTCTGTAGAGGAGGAGCTGGATGGAATGTGTCTGTAGAGGAGGAGCTGGATGGAATGTGTCTGTAGAGGAGGAGCTGGATGGAATGTGTCCGTAGAGGAGGAGCTGGATGGAATGTGTCTGTAGAGGAGGAGCTGGATGGAATGTGTCTGTCGAGGAGGAGCTGGATGGAATGTGTCTGTAGAGGAGGAGCTGGATGGAATGTCCCTGTAGAGGAGGAGCTGGATGAAATGTGTCTGTAGAGGAGGAGCTGGATGGAATGTGTCTGTAGAGGAGGAGCTGGATGGAATGTGTCTGTAGAGGAGGAGCTGGGTGGAATGTCCCTGTAGAGGAGGAGCTGGGTGGAATGTCCCTGTAGAGGAGGAGCTGGATGAAATGTCCCTGTAGAGGAGGAGCAGGATGAAATGTGTCTGTAGAGGAGGAGCTGGATGAAATGTGTCTGTAGAGGAGGAGCTGGGTGGAATGTGTCTGTAGAGGAGGAGCTGGATGAAATGTGTCTGTAGAGGAGGAGCTGGATGGAATGTCCCTGTAGAGCAGGAGCTGGATGGAATGTCCCTGTAGAGGAGGAGCTGGATGGAATGTCCCTGTAGAGGAGGAGCTGGATGAAATGTCCCTGTAGAGGAGGAGCTGGATGGAATGTCCCTGTAGAGGAGGAGCTGGATGAAATATGTCTGTAGAGGAGGAGCTGGATGGAATGTGCCTGTAGAGGAGGAGCTGGATGGAATGTGCCTGTAGAGGAGGAGCTGGATGGAATGTGTCTGTAGAGGAGGAGCTGGATGGAATGTGTCTGTAGAGGAGGAGCTGGATGAAATGTCCCTGTAGAGGAGGAGCTGGATGGAATGTGTCTGTCGAGGAGGAGCTGGATGAAATGTGTCTGTAGAGGAGGAGCTGGATGGAATGTGTCTGTAGAGGAGGAGCTGGATGGAATGTGCCTGTAGAGGAGGAGCTGGATGAAATGTGTCTGTAGAGGAGGAGCTGGATGGAATGTGTCTGTCGAGGAGGAGCTGGGTGGAATGTCCCTGTCGAGGAGGAGCTGGGTGGAATGTCCCTGTAGAGGAGGAGCTGGGTGGAATGTCCCTGTAGAGGAGGAGCTGGATGAAATGTCCCTGTGGAGGAGGAGCTGGATGGAATGTGTCCGTAGAGGAGGAGCTGGATGAAATGTGTCCGTAGAGGAGGAGCTGGATGAAATGTGTCCGTAGAGGAGGAGCTGGATGAAATGTGTCTGTCGAGGAGGAGCTGGATGAAATGTGTCTGTCGAGGAGGAGCTGGATGAAATGTCCCTGTAGGGGAGGAGCTGGATGAAATGTCCCTGTAGAGGAGGAGCTGGATGGATTGTCCCTGTAGAGGAGGAGCTGGATGAAATGTCCCCGTAGAGGAGGAGCTGGATGGAATGTCCCCGTAGAGGAGGAGCTGGATGGAATGTCCCCGTAGAGGAGGAGCTGGATGAAATGTGTCTGTAGAGGAGGAGCTGGATGAAATGTGTCTGTAGAGGAGGAGCTGGATGAAATGTGTCTGTAGAGGAGGAGCTGGATGGAATGTGTCTAGAGGAGGAGCTGGATGAAATGTGTCGGTAGAGGAGGAGCTGGATGGAATGTCCCTGTAGAGGAGGAGCTGGATGAAATGTGTCTGTGGAGGAGGAGCTGGATGAAATGAAATGTGTCTGTCGAGGAGGAGCTGGATGAAATGTGTCTGTAGAGGAGGAGCTGGATGAAATGTGTCTGTAGAGGAGGAGCTGCATGGAATGTGTCTGTAGAGGAGGAGCTGGATGGAATGTCCCTGTAGAGGAGGAGCTGGATGAAATGACGCTGGAGCTCCACAGGCAGGGTCCCTCCATAGGTACGAGTCACAGTGCCGTGCCCGGCTCTGGCACCCGTCCTGAGCTCCGTGGGTGATGCCTTCCAAGCATTTAGCCATGAGGTGGCGGCTCTCAGAGCGGTCCCAAAACTGGCTCCAGGGCTGCCCGAGTGGCAGGCAGAAGTAGGTGGGGGCTTATTTGGGTGCAGGCAGAGTGGCGTAAAGAACTGCCCTCACATGCTGTTTTTGTTGTCCGCTGGGCGGTGGCTGTGCAGCCCACCTGACCAGGTACGCCTGCCGTGTGTGGGTTAGAGGCCCAGGTCCAGCCTCCAGCGCTCTGGCCTGAGCTGTGGGAGGGACAGGAAGAGGACAGTGGGCTGCGCGGGGCCATGGGCAGCAGGTCCTACCCGTTACTGTCTGGGTCGTTCATTCGTGGCTCCTGGCCTTCGAATATTAAAGGAACTATTTCCTGATTTCTCCCCTCAGCTGTGGAAAGTGAAGAAGGCATTGAAGATGACTATTTTTTGGAGAGGCCTGATGCCCGAATTTCAGGTAGGATTTAGTTGTAATGGCTGAACCCCAAGCCTCTCTGAAGAGTGTGATTTTGCCCCCTGTGCAAAGAGTAAGATGGCCATCTGCAGATGAGTCACTGCGGGCCTCTGTCAGGGGAGCCTCCGTGGTGGAGGCAGCACTGGTTTCTGATCGCAGCCACTCTCTTCGCCTGAGGATTCCCCGGTCATATACCTAGTTCTGACCGTCTTCAGTGCAGACGGCAGCACTTCTGGGCCTGAGCCGGCCTCTGGGAGGAAGGATGCTGGCTGGCCAGCACGTGTGCTTCGTTTTGGCACCTTGTCCAGAGGCGCTCCCGAGGCTGGTGCTGACTGGGGTCCGTACAGTCCTGGCAGTCCTGAAGTGAGTGAGCCCCTGCCCTGAGCTGGTGGCTGCCCCAGTGCCTGGGCGCCCATAAGGCCCCTAGGCAGATGAGGGCTGGGGCAGAGCTGGAGTTGAATCTCAGTGCCCACGGATGGACCTTGATTGAGGCGGGGCCCTCAGCAGTCACAGGCTGAGATTTTCCATGCTGTGGGCAGGGGGGTCAGGAAGCCCAGCACACGCAGCGCAGCCACTGTGTTCCACCTTGCCCCATGGCTCCCGGCCGGCTGGTTCGGAGCAGTGTTGGCTGTGCCTGTGTGCTCTGCAGTGTTCTCACTGAAGCGGTGGCACTGAAAACTGAGCCACCTGAGCAAGGAACAGCAGTGAGGCCGCGTTGCCCCCATCAGGCTTGTGGGACCCAGGGCCAGGGTGAGGCGGGAAGGATCCATGCGGATCCCCGTCCTCTGGGTCCTCTCCTCGCCTGGTAGGGACCTGAGCGCCCTCTGTAGTGAGGCCTGGGTCAGCTCTGCAGCCATATGTGACGCCCCTTAGTCACAGCTCAGCTGTGCTCAGATCCTCCCTGAGTCTATTAATATCACTGTGTTGAATTTCACAACAGTTTGGCACTTACAGCGAATCTGAGAGGAAAACCGAGGAGTACGATACTCAGGTAAGTCACTTGTGATTCAGGGCACGTGCATGCCAGGCAAATCCAACACCCTCAAAGACGGGTCTTTTACTGTCATTGCTCAGTGCGGAAGTCTCCTTGGAGTACGGGTCAGCCCGCCTTGAGCAGGGATCCCAAGAGTGAACACATAAAACCCAAATTTCTTACTGGGAAGGGCGGGGGCTCGCAGAGACTCATTTCCCAGTCCTTACAGGCACAGCCTGCCTGTGTCACCGTATAGTAGGGATATTTTCATCGTTTGTAAGTCACATTCGCCAGGCAGCTGACGCAGGCCATGGTGTCTGCTGTGGTTGCTGGGAACGCACTTGCCGTCACCAAGGCCATAATGGCCGCGGCCGCACAGTGGCCTGGAGGAATGGCCCCAGCAGCACAGGGCGTCACCTTTCCCCATTGCTGTTGGGGGAGCTGGAATTCTCAGTTCCAGTTAATAGAACATTTCTGCACAGATGATTTTAGTTTGGTTTAATCTTCACCAGCTTATATCCAACTTGCATGGCGTTGTAAAGCTGAAATCAGAATGGATACAGCTGGCGATGTAACTACATTACTTAGTAGGCAGTTTTTTCCGGTTTCTTTCCATTATGTTTATTGATCTGTTGTGGGTTGGTTGGTTTTGACCAACCAGAATTGATCTATTATTGTTAACTAGCGCCTGTAGTTACACCCGGGCTCTGGCGTGTGCGGTGCCTCCTGGGGCTGTGGCGAGTGTGCGATGCCCTGCCTGTGCCCCTCACGCCGCCCCCTGCAGAGCAGCCCTGCCACCCTGAGCGCTGTAGCTCGTTCTGTCTGTCCCTGTCGGGGTGAGCTCCATGCAGTGTGTTTACAGAGGCTTGGCGTTTGGGCCTCTAACTGGAAGCCATCTTTGTTCCCTGCAGGCCATGAAGTACTTGTCATACCTGCTGTACCCTCTCTGTGTCGGGGGTGCTGTCTATTCACTCCTGAATATCAAATATAAGAGGTAGGAGGCCGCACACGCTTCCCCTGCTGCGTCTTTCCCCTGAGAAAGCCATTTGGATGACTGAGCCAGAGCGGGGTGCGACTGGAGGGCAAACTCGGGGCCGGGGCACTTGGGCCAGCGCCTGGGAGGGGTCCTGCCCCTGCAGCTGCACACGGTGGGCTCTGGGCCTCAGTGTCCCCCTGGTAAGGTGTAGCTGAGAGGACTGACTCCAGCCACCAGGCTTCATGGGAGGCTTGGGCCTGAGCTGAGAGGGGTCCTGGAGCCCCTGGCCTCTGCTGCCCGTGTGGGGTGCTGGCCCTGAGCTGAGAGGGTTCCCGGAGCCCCCGGCCTCTGCTGCCTGGGTGGGGTGTTGGCCCTGAGCCGAGAGGGGTCCTGGAGCCTCCAGCCTCTGCTGCCCGGGTGGGGTGCTGGCCCTGAGCCAAGAGGGATCCCGGAGCCCCCAGCCTCTGTTGCCCAGGTGGGCTGCTGGCCCTGAGCCAAGAGGGATCCCGGAGCCTCCAGCCTCTGCTGCCCAGGTGGGGTGCTGGCCCTGAGCTGAGGGGTTCCTGGAGTGCCCGGCCTCTGCTGCCCGGGCAGGGTGCTGGCCCTGAGCTGAGAGGGGTCCTGGAGCCCCTGGCCTCTGCTGCCCAGGTGGGGTGCTGGCCCTGAGCTGAGGGGTTCCTGGAGTGCCCGGCCTCTGCTGCCCGGCCGGGGGTGCTCAGCGCTATCTCCAGCTTGAGAACCAGGCTCAGCACTGCTGCTCTTGGCTGCCGAGCTGCCGTGAGAGCATCTGGGTATTTTCAGAGGATTTTTAATGAAAGAATTATTTTTCATCAATTTAATACAGATATTAAGCTATGCGAGAAATAGGACTTCTCCTTTTTTTTCCGTTTCAGCTGGTACTCCTGGTTAATCAACAGCTTCGTCAACGGTGAGTCCATGTGCTTCCCTGCTTCAGTACTAGTGTTTCCAGCAGGCAGCGATTTAATTGTTCTTGCATTGAAACCCAGTGTGGCAAGCCCCCCTGTGATTTGAGGCTAATCCCTCCCCACCCTGTTCTGGCACATGTGCGGTGCCCAGGGCTCCCCCCAGGCTGTGAGCAGATAAAGCCCTGCGTGGCTTCACAACAGTGACTGGTTCTGAGAAACAGGTCCTTGTACAAGCGACAGGGAGTGCTCACACCAGATGTGGCAGCCCCTCCACGCCAGGCTGTGTGGTGCAGCCGCCTGGTATATGTGTCCATCGCTGATGAAAACAGCATTGTGTGGTGCATGACTGTTGTCTGTTTTCTTCATGGAAACAAGGAAACCTAAGCATTAAAACAACACCATCCACGTCTGGTTCCTTAGAGCAAATGGAAGCACCAGGCTCTGGTGCACGGCGCGCCCCCTCCTGCAGATGCAGTGTGGGGACCCTGCAGGGCCCTGTGCTCGGGGCCACATGTCCTGGGAGGCCCGCCTGCCCCAGGTGGCACCTTCAGCTGCATGGGCTGCTGTGTCCATCCCCCAGCCCCACCAGACCAGCCCTGATCGCAGCTTTGTGGTCTCTTTGGGAAGTGGTCCCGTGAGCATTAAGGGCGAGGGCCTGTCTGGTGCAGAGCAGGTGGGTCCCGCACTGCCGTCCTCCCTGGTAGGAGTCCCACACCTGACCCCTGGGGCAGGACCTTGTGGGTCAGGAGGCCGTGTCCTCATAGCCCCAGGGTGCTCCAGTGCTCTCACTGACTTGACCCCGTGGGCAGCAGTTACACTGATTAATAAATAGAAGAGCTTTGCTCTCCAAAGTTGTCGTAGACTCTTGATAAACTTACCAGCCAGAAAGCTGCTTCACACCATGATGGACTCTGAAGTTGTCTGGATAGCAGACCTTGTTTTCTGCCCACTATGCATAGACGTGGCAGCTCGGCCCTCCACACCTCGTGAGTGCCGTCTGTGCGTAGATGTGGCAGCCCGGCCCTCCGCACCTCGTGAGTGCTGTCTGTCTTTCTGCAGGGGTCTATGCCTTTGGTTTCCTCTTCATGCTGCCCCAGCTCTTTGTGAACTACAAGGTAAGGCGGTGTGTGCTGCCCGCGGCCCGGCCCCCGTCTCCTGTGCTGCCCACAGCTGACCTGGGCCTGTCTCTCCTGTTTCAGTTGAAGTCAGTGGCACATCTGCCCTGGAAGGCCTTCACCTACAAGGTGAGTGTGACAGCCGGTGAGGAATCCCTTCTCACTGAGCAGAGCGTGAGCAAGGGCGTCTTCCAGCCAACAGCATTACTGGGGCCATCTCTGCCCAGAGTGCATCTGCACCTGTCCCTTTCATTGAAGAATATTGAGGAGGCTCCTTTAAAAAAAAAAGCGAAGAGCTATAGAGTAACTTCAGACCCTGAAAGACTGGGGTGGTTCTCTCACTTGTCACAGATTTGGTTTTCTTTTTCTTTTTTAGTGTTTATGTTTCTTCTTAGCACATGTGTCAAGACACAGACCCCCTGTGGCTCAGTAACCGGTGCCTGGGGACAACGGATTCAGGCCTCCCAGGCAGGAATGGAAGCCCCCATGGGCCGTGGCCATTCCCCGCTGGCAGAGCTGTGGAGGCCCCCTTGGCTCCGTGTGGGATTAGAAGTGCCTCGGCATTGCAGGCGGAGCTGAGTTAATGGGACATGATTTGCACTTTTCTGAAGTCAATTACAAGCTCCCAGAGGAAAGGGCAATGCTCAGGTGGCTCTGCCCTTGGCTCTCCCCTTGGCTGTGGTCTCGGGCGGCTCTAACCTTGGCTCTGGTCTCAGGTGGCTCTGCCCTTGGCTCTGTCTCGGGCGGCTCCAGCCTTGGCTCTGGTTTCAGGCCATTCTCTTTGGGTTCCCCGATGTGGGAGCCTGGGCAAGACCCGCAGTGTGTCGGGTGCCAGCAGCTGTGGGGAGCCCATGAGGGAACAGAGCTCCGTATCTCCACTTGCCGGCTTTCTGCTCTTTTTGTTGTTGCTGTGAGGAGTTCCAGTTAGTTCCAAGCATCTGCCAAAAGCCGTTGGCTTGGTTAGGTTACCAAAAACAGTAGGATTCCAGCCCCAGCAACTGGGGTTCACCCTCCTCCCGTCTGGCCCTGCAGGCTTTCAACACCTTCATTGATGACGTCTTTGCCTTCATCATCACCATGCCCACGTCTCACCGGCTGGCCTGCTTCCGGGACGACGTGGTGTTTCTGGTCTACCTGTACCAGCGGTGGTGAGTGCGGCTGCGTATGCTCGGCCGTTGCTCCGTCTCAGCGGCGTGGCTGCTGCTGAACGGAATGACGGCTTTCACCGCACCCTGCGCCTGTTTATCCATTTGAGGGAAAAGATAATTTGCAGGTGGTGGTTTTTCCTGTCTTGCCTAAACTTGGGTTCCAGTTGCCCATGATATGTCCTGGCAAGAAACTGTTCCAGCTCTGTCTCCTCACTGTGCTTTAGAAATGCTCGTTTCTATGTGAATTATTGATGAGCCACTGAAAGCAAATGTCTCTCCTTAAGCGATTTATTTACCTATTCACAGTCATTGCTATTGAGCAGAACAGAGACCGTAGCATGGCTAATCCATACTTGGCGCTAGCCTCGAAGTGTCCAGCCAGCAGTGTGGACCTGCAGGGCACAATGTCACTGGGGAGCTCACTCACCTCAGCATTGGCCGCACCCCTTAAACCAGCCACCAGGGCCTCTGAAGACTGCATTGCGTGGACCTCTCAGCTTGGCCTTCAGGTTGAAGGCTGACGGCTGAGGAAAAGGCTTTGTGGAATTTTCTAAAGGCAGAGGTTCAGGCCCCACCCCGGGCCTCGGAATTTTCCAAATGCAGAGGCTCAGGCCCCACCCTGGGCCTCCCGCTTCCCTCCAGGGCTGACATCTGCCCTCTCAGTCAGCAAAACCTCCCTCCAGCTCTGCTGTGCCAGGGTAGGAGCCAGGGATCTGGGGCTCCCCTCGGGAGGGTTGCATCTGGACCACTGCAAGCACTGCCCTCACCTCCAGTGCCGGCCCCAGGGCCTTGTCCAGGGGTCGAAGGAGTGTGTGTCACCCCCAAGACCTGCTGCCAAGTGTCTCAGAGCCTCCTGGCTGTGTCCTTTCTCTGGCCCTCAAGGTCCCTTTTCCCATCTCCCTCCCCCGACCAGGAGGCCACCTCACACACCACGGCTGTGACACTTCCCTGTGCCCTTCCCTCAGGGCCTGGGGCCATCCTACTAGTGCAGGAGAGGGATCCTCTTCCCCCAGGCCGTCCTGGCGGGTCCTGCCTAGGTCCGGGGTGCCGGCCCTTGGGGAGCGCAGTGCTCCCGTCCCCGCCCTGTCTCCACACTCAACCTCGCCAGGTGTTCAGAGCCTCTGTCCCAGCCAGCATGAGGCTGGCATGGTTCTGCCTGGTTTAACTCTTTGTTCGGGTGCAGTTGGCACATCCACACAGTGGCTCATGGCCGCCCTTGCCCAGCTCTCCAGGCCTGGCCGCCGGCTGCCCCCCCCCACCCTGTTGCTGTCTCGTGCAGCCCCTGCACGGGAGCTCCAGCTTGTGTCAGCGGGAAGGGCTATTTCACCATAAGCAACACTCACACTCACACGGGGCTTGGTTCCTGTCCCCCGTTCACCATTCTCAGATCCCCCAGCTGGCCGCCTGCCCCCTGCAGAGCCTGAGGTTGTCCAAGCCACGGAGCCCCGGACGCTGCTGCGCCTGGTGTGGTTGTCTCAACTGTGAGCCCTTCAAGTGGCTCCCAAGTCCTCGCAGGTGGCCCGGGGCGTGCCTGAAACTGTGCTGTACTCAGGCTCTGTGTTAATGGCTCCAGACCTGCAAACGGTGTTTGGCCAGGATCACAGGGCCCTTGGTGGGCAGCAGGTCTGTTTTTAAGCTGAAACCCTGTACTTCTGTTCGCGGCCGTGTAGAGCTGCCCCTTATGCCACAGCTTCCTCATCCATACGTAGGGGTGATGTTGGCAAGGCCTCCGGGGCGCTCAGGATCAAAGGCGGCGGCAGTGTCCTGCCAAGTGTTCACAGCTGATGAGACGTGGTCCCTGAACACAGCGGTTCCTGTTCTGATCACTCGAGTCTCCGTGATGCCACCGTTCCCAGAAGGCAGCCCGTGCAGCCTCCGGGTCCCCCCTTCAGCCATGGCAGCCCGTGCAGCCTCCGGGTCGTCCCTTCGGCCAAGCTTCCCTTTCCTTGAGAGCAGCACGCTGGCCTGGCCATGCAGAACAAAACACAACTCAGAAATCCCTCCTCAGCCCTCGGCAGTAAAACTTCTGAGGATTCGACTTTTTAGTTAATTTGCTCACTGTGGCAGCTCACTGGAAAATAAATCGAGGATGCCAAGTCCTCCTCTTAGAAAAATAGCCCCTGCAGTGGGGTTTGCTGATGTGCTCATTTGTGTCATTGCAGGCTTTATCCTGTGGATAAACGCAGAGTGAACGAGTTTGGGGAGTCCTACGAGGAGAAGGCCACGCGGGCGCCCCACACGGACTGAAGGCCGCCCGGGCTGCCGCCAGCCAAGTGCAACTTGAATTGTCAATGAGTATTTTTGGAAGCATTTGGAG